>NC_000022.11:13021422-13109444 GCF_000001405.40 Homo sapiens | reverse complement strand
TTTGTCTAGTTTTTAGGTGAAGATATTTCTTATTTCCCCAGAGGCCTCAATGGGCTCTCAAATATTCCCTTTCATATTCTACTAAATGAGTGTATCGAAGCTGCTCAATCAAAAGACGGGTTTAACAGTGTGAGACGAAAATACACCTTCCTAGGAAGTTTCTCAGAATTCTTCTTTCTAGTTTTTTATGTGAAGATATTTCCTTTTCCACTATAGGCCTCAAAGCGTTCCAAATATCCACTTGCAGATACTACAAATAGAGCGTTTCAAAACTGCTCAATCAAAGGAAAGGTTCAACTCTGTGAGATGAATGCAGACATCAAAAAGAAGTTTCTCAGAATCCTTCTGCCTTGTTTTTATGTGAAGATATTTCCTTTTTCACCATAGGCCTCAAAGCACTGGTAATATCCATTTGCAGATACTACAAAAAGACTGTTCCCAAACTGCTCAATAAAAAGAAATTTTCAACTCTATGAGATAAAAGCAAATATCACAAAGAAGTTTCTCAGAAACTTTCTATCTAGTTTTTATGTGAACATATTTCTTATCACCCCATAGACCTCAATCGGCTCACAAGTATCCTTCTGCAGATTGTAAAAAAACTACTGTTTCCAAACCGCTCAATCACAGGAAAGGTTTAACTCTGTGAAATGAATGCATCCATCACAGAGAAGTTTCTCAGAATGCTTCCGTCTCGTTTTTATGTGAAGAAGATTCCTTTTCCACCCTATTCCTCATGCGCTCCAAATAAACACTTGCAGATTCCGCTAAAAGAGTGTTTCAAAACTGCTCAATCAAAAGAAAGGTTCTAGTCGGTGAGATGAATGCACACATCACAAAGAAGTTTCTATGAATGCTTCTGTCTGATTTATATTGAAGATATTTCCTTTTTCACCGTAGGCCTCAGAGTGCTTAAAATATCCATTTGCAGATACTAGAAAAGACTGTTTCCAAACTGCTCAATCAAAGTAAAGTTCAACTCAGTGAGATGAATGCACACATCACCAAGACGTTTCTGAGAAAGATTCTGTCTCGTTTTTATGTGAAGATATTTCCTGTTTCCCCAGAGGCATCAATGGGCTCACAAATATTCCTTTGCATATTCTACAAAATGACTGTTTAGAAGGTTCTCAATCAAAAAAAAAGTTCAACAGTGTGAGATGAATGCGCCCATTCAAAGGAAGTTTCTCAGAATTCTTCTATCTACTTTTTATGTGAAGATATTTCCTTTTTCACTGTAGGCCACAAAGTGCTCCAAATATCCACTTGCAGACTCTACAAAACGAGTGTATCCACACTGCTCAATCAAAAGAAAATTTCAACTGTGTGAGATGAATGCACACATCAAAATAAATTTCTCCAAAACTTCTGCCTACTTTTTATGGGAAGATATTTCGTTTTTCAACGTAGGCCAAAAGCACTCCAAATATCAATTTGCAGATTCTACAAAAAGACTGTTTCCAAACTGCTCAATCAAGAGAAAGTTTCAACCCGGTGAGTAGAAGTCACACATGACAAAATAGTTTCTCAGGAAGTATCTGTCTAGTTTTTATGTGAAGATATTTCCTATCACCCCAGAAGCCTCAATGGGCTCACAAATATTCCTTTGCAGATTCTACAAAACGACAGTTTCAAAACTGCTGAATCAAAAGAAAGGTTCAACTCTGTGAGATGAATGCACAGATCACAAATAAGTTTCTCAGAATGCTGCTGTCTAGTTTTTATGGGAAGATGTGTCTTTTTCCACCATAGGCCTGAAAGTGCCCCAAATATCCACTTATAGATTGTACAAAAAGACTGTTTCAAAACTGCTCAATCAAAAGAAAAGTTCAAATCTGTGAGATGAAAGCACACATCTGAAAGAAGTTTCTCAGAAAGTTTCTGACTAGTTTTTATGTGAAGATGTTTTCTTTTCCACCACAGGCCTCAAAGTGCTAAAAATATTCACTTGAAGATTCTACAAAAAGAGAGTTTCAAAACTGCTCAAACAAAAGAAAGGTTCAACTCTGTGACATTAATGCACACATCACAAAGAAGTTTCTCAGAATGCTTCTGTCTAGTTTTATGTAAAGATATTTCCTTTTCTACTATAGGCCACAAAGCACTCCAAATATCAACTTGCAGATTCTGCAGAAAGAGTTTTTCAAAGCTGCTCAATCAAAAGAAAAGTTCAACTCTTTGAGATGAATGCACACATCATGAAGTTCCTCAGAATGCTTCTATTTTTATGTGAAGATATATCCTTTTCTACCATAGACCACAAAACGCTCCAAATATCCCCTTGCAGTTTCTACTAAAAGAGTGTTTCCAAACTGCTCAATCAAAAGAAGTTTCAACTCTGTGAGATGAATGCACACATCATTAAGAAGTTTCTCAGTAATTTTCTGTCTAGTTTTTATGTGAAGATATTTCCTTTCCTACTATAGGCCTGAAAGTGCTGCAAATATCCGTTTGCAGATACTGCAAAAACACTGTTTCCACACTGCTCAATCAAAGGAAATGTCCAACTCTGTGAGTTGAATGCACGCATCTCAAAGAGATTACTTCTAATGATTCTGTCTAGTTTTGATGTGAAGATATTTGCTTTTCCACCAGTGGCCTCAAACTCTCC
Source organism: Homo sapiens (assembly GCF_000001405.40). Taxonomy (NCBI): domain Eukaryota; kingdom Metazoa; phylum Chordata; class Mammalia; order Primates; family Hominidae; genus Homo; species Homo sapiens. Next base: position 13,106,833 of record NC_000022.11, on the reverse strand, counting down.
AAATATCCACTTGCAGATTCTACAATAAGAGTGTTTCAAAACTGCTCAATCAAAAGAAAGGTTCAACACTGTGAGATGAATGCACACGTCACAAAGCACTTTCTTAGAATGCTTCTGTCTAGCTTTTATGTGAAGATATTTCCTTTTTCACCATAGGCTGCAAAGCGCTCCAAATACCCCTTTCAGATTCTACAGAAAGAGTGTTTCAAAACTGTTCAATCAAAAGAGAAACTCAACTCTGGTGATGAATGCACGCATCACAAAGCAGTTTCTCATAATGTTTCTGTCTAGTTTTTATGTGAAGATATTTCATTCTCCACTATAGGCCGTAATGCACTCCTAATATCCACTTGCAGATTCTACAAAAAGACTGTTTGCAAACTGCTCAAACAAAAGAAAAGTTCAACTCTGTGAGTTGAATGAGCACATCACAAAGAAGTTTCTCAGAATGCTTCTGTCTAGTTTTTATGTGAATATATTTCCTTTTCCACTATAGGCCGTAATGCGCTCCAAATATCCACTTGCAGTTTCTACAAAAAGACTGTTTCCAAACTGCGCAATCAAAAGAAAAGCTCAACTCTGTGAGTTGAATGAGCACATCAGAAAGAAGTTTCTCAGAATGCTTCTATCTAGTTTTTATGTGAATATATTTCCTTTTCCACCACAGGCCACAAACCCTCCAAATATCCACTTGAAGATTCTACAAAAAGAGTGCTTCAAAAATGCTCAATCAAAAGAAAGGTTCAACTCTTCGATATGGACGCACACATCACAAAGAAGCTTCTCAGAATGTTTCTGTCTAGTTTTTTTGTGAAGATATTTCCTTTTCCACCGTAGTCCTCAAGTCTCTCCAAATATCTACTTTCAGAATCTCCAAAAAGAGTGTTTTAAAACTGCTGTACCAAAGAAAGTTTCATGTCTGAGTTATGACTGCATACAACACAGAGAAGTTTCTCAAAGTGCTTCTGTTTATTTTTTTTATGAAGATATTTCCTTTTCCACTATGGGCCACAGAGCGCTCCAAATATCCACTGGCAGATTCTACAAAAAGAGTGTTTCAAAACTGCTCAATCAATAGAAAGTTTGAAGTCTGTGAGATGAGTGCACACATCACAAAGGAGTTTCTAAGAATGCTTCCATCTGAATTTTATGTGAGGATATTTCCTTTTTCACCATAGGCCTCAATACACTCCAAATATCCATTTACAGATAATACAAATGACTGTATCCAAACTGCTCAATCAAAAGAAAGTTCAACTGTGCATGATGAATGCACACATCACAAGGGTGTTTCTCAGAAAGATTTTGTCTAGTTTTTAGGTGAAGATATTTCTTATTTCCCCAGAGGCCTCAATGGGCTCTCAAATATTCCTTTTCATAATCTACTAAATGACTGTATCGAAGCTGCTCAATCAAAAGACGGGTTTAACAGTGTGAGACAAAAATACACCTTCCTAGGAAGTTTCTCAGAATTCTTCTTTCTAGTTTTTTATGTGAAGATATTTCCTTTTCCACTATAGGCCTCAAAGCGTTCCAAATATCCACTTGCAGATACTACAAATAGAGCGTTTCAAAACTGCTCAATCAAAAGAAAGTTTCAACACTGCGAGATGAATGCAGACATCAAAAAGAAGCTTCTCAGAATGCTTCTGCCTTGTTTTTATGTGAAGATATTTCCTTTTTCACCATAGGCCTCAAAGCACTGGTAATATCCATTTGCAGATACTACAAAAAGACTGTCCCCAAACTGCTCAATAAAAAGAAAGTTTCAACTCTAGGAGATAAAAGCAAATATCACAAAGAAGTTTCTCAGAAACTTTCTATCTAGTTTTTATGTGAACATATTTCTTATCACCCCATAGACCTCAATCGGCTCACAAGTATCCTTCTGCAGATTGTAAAAAACTACTGTTTCCAAACCGGTCAATCACAGGAAAGGTTTAACTCTGGGAAATGAATGCATCCATCACAGAGAAGTTTCTCAGAATGCTTCCGTCTCGTTTTTATGTGAAGAAGATTCCTTTTCCACCATATTCTTCATGCGCTACAAAGAAACACTTGCAGATTCCGCTAAAAGAGTGTTTCAAAACTGCTCAATCAAAAGAAAGGTTCTAGTCGGTGAGATGAATGCACACATCACAAAGAAGTTTCTATGAATGCTTCTGTCTGATTTATATTGAAGATATTTCCTTTTTCACCGTAGGCCTCAGAGCGCTTAAAATATCCATTTGCAGATACTAGAAAAAGACTGTTTCCAAACTGCTCAATCAAAATAAAGTTCAACTCAGTGAGATGAATGCACATATCACAAAGAAGTTTCTGAGAAAGATTCTGTCTCGTTTTTATGTGAAGATATTTCCTGTTTCCCCAGAGGCATCAATGGGCTCACAAATATTCCTTTGCATATTCTACAAAATGACTGTTTAGAAGGTGCCCAATCAAAAAAAAAGTTCAACAGTGTGAGATGAATGCGCCCATTCAAAGGAAGTTTCTCAGAATTCTTCTATCTAGTTTTTATGTGAAGATATTTCCTTTTTCACTATAGGCCACAAAGTGCTCCAAATATCCACTTGCAGACTCTACGAAACGAGTGTATCCACACTGCTCAAACAAAAGAAAATTTCAACTGTTTGAGATGAATGCACACATCAAAATAAATTTCTCCAAAACTTCTGCCTACTCTTTATGGGAAGATATTTCGTTTTTCAACGTAGGCCAAAAGCACTCCAAATATCAATTTGCAGATTCTACAAAAAGACTGTTTCCAAACTGCTCAATCAAGAGAAAGTTTCAACCCGGTGAGTAGAAGTCACACATGACAAAATAGTTTCCCAGAAAGTATCTGTCTAGTTTTAATGTGAAGATATTTCCTATCACCCCAGAAGCCTCAATGGGCTCACAAATATTCCTTTGCAGATTCTACAAAACGACAGTTTCAAAACTGCTGAATCAAAAGAAAGGTTCAATTCTGTGAGATGAATGCACAGATCACAAATAAGTTTCTCAGAATGCTGCTGTCTAGTTTTTATGGGAAGAGATTTCCTTTTCCACCATAGGCCTCAAAGCTCTCCAAATAGCCATTTGCAGATACTGTAAAAAGACTGTTTCCAAACTGCTGAATCAAAAGAAAGGTTGAACTCCATGAGTTGAATGCACACGTCACAAAGAAGTTTCTCAGAATACTTCTGACTAGTTTTTATGTGAAGATATTTTCTTTTCCACCATAGGCCTCAAAGCGCTGAAAATATCCACTTGAAGATTCTACAAAAAGAGAGTTTCAAAACTGCTCAAACAAAAGAAAGATTCAACTCTGTGAGATGAATGCACACATCACAAAGAAGTTTCTCAGAATGCTTCTGTCTAGTTTTATGTAAAGATATTTCCTTTTCTACTATAGGCCACAAAGCACTCCAAATATCAACTTGCAGATTCTGCAGAAAGAGATTTTCAAAGCTGCTCAATCAAAAGAAAAGTTCAACTCTTTGAGATGAATGCACACATCATGAAGTTCCTCAGAATGCTTCTATTTTTATGTGAAGATATATCCTTTTCTACCATAGACCACAAAACGCTCCAAATATCCCCTTGCAGTTTCTACTAAAAGAGTGTTTCCAAACGGCTCAATCAAAAGAAAGTTTCAACTCTGTGAGATGAATGCACACAACATTAAGTAGTGTCTCAGTAATTTTTCTGTATGGTTTTTATGTGAAGATATTTCCTTTCCTACTATAGGCCTGAAAGTGCTCCAAATATCCGTTTGCAGATACTGCATAAAGACTGTTTCCAAACTGCTCAATCAAAGGAAATGTCCAACTCTGTGAGTTGAATGCACGCATCTCAAAGAGATTACTTATAATGATCCTGTCTAGTTTTGATGTGAAGATATTTGCTTTTCCACCAGTGGCCTCAAACTCTCCAAATATCCACTTGCAGATTCTACAATAAGAGTGTTTCAAAACTGCTCAATCGAAAGAAAGGTTCAACACTGTCAGATGAATGCACACGTCACAAAGCACTTTCTTAGAATGCTTCTGTCTAGCTTTTATGTGAAGATATTTCCTTTTTCACCATAGGCTGCAAAGCGCTCCAAATATCCCTTTCAGATTCTACAGAAAGAGTGTTTCAAAACTGTTCAATCAAAAGAGAAACTCAACTCTGGTGATGAATGCACGCATCACAAAGCGGTTTCTCATAATGTTTCTGTCTAGTTTTTATGTGAAGATATTTCATTTTCCACTATAGGCCGTAATGCACTCCTAATATCCACTTGCAGATTCTACAGAAAGACTGTTTGCAAACTGCTCAAACAAAAGAAAAGTTCAACTCTGTGAGTTGAATGAGCACATCACAAAGAAGTTTCTCAGAATGCTTCTCTGTCTAGTTTTTATGTGAATATATTTCCTTTTCCACTATAGGCCGTCATGCGCTCCAAATATCCACTTGCAGATTCTACAAAAAGACTGTTTCCAAACTGCTCAATCAAAAGAAAAGCTCAACTCTGTGAGGTGAATGAGCACATCCCAAAGAAGTTCCTCAGAATGCTTCTATCTAGTTTTTATGTGAATATATTTGCTTTTCCACCACAGGCCACAAACCCTCCAAATATCCACTTGAAGATTCTACAAAAAGAGTGCCTCAAAAATGCGCAATCAAAAGAAAGGTTCAACTCTTCGAGATGGACGCACACATCACAAAGAAGCTTCTCAGAATGTTTCTGTCTAGTTTTTTTGTGAAGATATTTCCTTTTCCACCGTAGTCCTCAAGTCTCTCCAAATATCTACTTTCAGAATCTCCAAAAAGAGTGTTTTAAAACTGCTGTACCAAAGAAATTTTCATGTCTGAGATATGACTGCATACAACACAGAGAAGTTTCTCAAAGTGCTTCTGTTTATTTTTTTTATGAAGATATTTCCGTTTCCACTATGGGCCACAGAGCGCTCCAAATATCCACTGGCAGATTCTACAAAAAGAGTGTTTCAAAACTGCTCAATCAATAGAAAGTTTGAAGTCTGTGAGATGAGTGCACACATCACAAAGGAGTTTCTAAGAATGCTTCCATCTGAATTTTATGTGAGGATATTTCCTTTTTCACCATAGGCCTCAGTACACTCCAAATATCCATTTACAGATAATACAAATGACTGTATCCAAACTGCTCAATCAAAAGAAATTTCAACTCTGTATGATGAATGCACACATCACAAGGGTGTTTCTCAGAAAGATTTTGTCTAGTTTTTAGGTGAAGATATTTCTTATTTCCCCAGAGGCCTCAATGGGCTCTCAAATATTCCCTTTCATATTCTACTAAATGACTGTATCGAAGCTGCTCAATCAAAAGACGGGTTTAACAGTGTGAGACGAAAATACACCTTCCTAGGAAGTTTCTCAGAATTCTTCTTTCTAGTTTTTTATGTGAAGATATTTCCTTTTCCACTATAGGCCTCAAAGCGTTCCAAATATCCACTTGCAGATACTACAAAGAGAGTGTTTCAAAACTGCTCAATCAAAAGAAAGGTTCAACTTTGTGAGATGAATGCAGACATCACAAAGAAGTTTCTCAGAATCCTTCCGCCTTGTTTTTATGTGAAGATATTTCCTTTTTCACCATAGGCCTCAAAGCACTGGTAATATCCATTTGCAGATACTACAAAAAGACTGTTCCCAAACTGCTCAATAAAAAGAAATTTTCAACTCTAGGAGATAAAAGCTAATATCACAAAGAAGTTTCTCAGAAACTTTCTATCTAGTTTTTATGTGAACATATTTCTTATCACCCCATAGACCTCAATCGGCTCACAAGTATCCTTCTGCAGATTGTAAAAAACTACTGTTTCCAAACCGCTCAATCACAGGAAAGGTTTAACTCTGTGAAATGAATGCATCCATCACAGAGAAGTTTCTCAGAATGCTTCCGTCTCGTTTTTATGTGAAGAAGATTCCTTTTCCACCATATTCCTCATGCGCTCCAAATAAACACTTGCAGATTCCGCTAAAAGAGTGTTTCAAAACTGCTCAATGAAAAGAAAGGTTCTAGTCGGTGAGATGAATGCACACATCACAAAGAAGTTTCTATGAATGCTTCTGTCTGATTTATATTGAAGATATTTCCTTTTTCACCGTAGGCCTCAGAGTGCTTAAAATATCCATTTGCAGATACTAGAAAAGACTGTTTCCAAACTGCTCAATCAAAGTAAAGTTCAACTCAGTGAGATCAATGCACACATCACCAAGACGTTTCTGAGAAAGATTCTGTCTCGTTTTTATGTGAAGATATTTCCTGTTTCCCCAGAAGGCATCAATGGGCTCACAAATATTCCTTTGCATATTCTACAAAATGACTGTTTAGAAGGTGCTCAATCAAAAAAAAAGTTCAACAGTGTGAGATGAATGCGCCCATTCAAAGGAAGTTTCTCAGAATTCTTCTATCTAGTTTTTATGTGAAGATATTTCCTTTTTCACTATAGGCCACAAAGTGCTCCAAATATCCACTTGCAGACTCTACAAAACGAGTGTATCCACACTGCTCAATCAAAAGAAAATTTCAACTGTGTGAGATGAATGCACACATCAAAATAACTTTCTCCAAAACTTCTGCCTACTTTTTATGGGAAGATATTTCGTTTTTCAACGTAGGCCAAAAGCACTCCAAATATCAATTTGCAGATTCTACAAAAAGACTGTTTCCAAACTGCTCAATCAACAGAAAGTTTCAACCCGGTGAGTAGAAGACACACATGACAAAATAGTTTCTCAGAAAGTATCTGTCTAGTTTTTACGTGAAGATATTTCCTATCACCCCAGAAGCCTCAATGGGCTCACAAATATTCCTTTGCAGATTCTACAAAACGACAGTTTCAAAACTGCTGAATCAAAAGAAAGGTTCAACTCTGGGAGATGAATGCACAGATCACAAATAAGTTTCTCAGAATGCTGCTGTCTAGTTTTTATGGGAAGATAATTCCTTTTCCACCATAGGCCTCAAAGCTCTCCAAATAGCCATTTGCAGATACTGTAAAAAGACTGTTTCCAAACTGCTGAATCAAAAGAAAGGTTGAACTCCATGAGTTGAATGCACACGTCACAAAGAAGTTTCTCAGAATGGTTCTGACTAGTTTTTATGTGAAGATATTTTCTTTTCCACCATAGGCCTCAAAGCGCTGAAAATATCCACTTGAAGATTCTACAGAAAGAGAGTTTCAAAACTGCTCAAACAAAAGAAAGATTCAACTCCGTGAGATGAATGCACACATCACAAAGAAGTTTCTCAGAATGCTTCTGTCTAGTTTTATGTAAAGATATTTCCTTTTCTACTATAGGCCACAAAGCACTCCAAATATCAACTTGCAGATTCTGCAGAAAGAGTTTTTCAAAGCTGCTCAATCAAAAGAAAAGTTCAACTCTTTGAGATGAATGTACACATCAGGAAGTTCCTCAGAATGCTTCTATTTTTATGTGAAGATAACCTTTTCTACCATAGACCACAAAACGCTCCAAATATCCCCTTGCAGTTTCTACTAAAAGAGTGTTTCCAAACTGCTCAATCAAAGGAAAGTTTCAACTCTGTGAGATGAATGCACACATCATTAAGAAGTTTCTCAGTAATTTTCTGTATGGTTTTTATGTGAAGATATTTCCTTTCCTACTATAGGCCTGAAAGTGCTCCAAATATCCGTTTGCAGATACTGCATAAAGACTGTTTCCAAACTGCTCAATCAAAGGAAATGTCCAACTCTGTGAGTTGAATGCACGGCATCTCAAAGAGATTACTTATAATGATCCTGTCTAGTTTTGATGTGAAGATATTTGCTTTTCCACCAGTGGCCTCAAACTCTCCAAATATCCAGTTGCAGATTCTACAATAAGAGTGTTTCAAATCTGCTCAATCAAAAGAAAGGTTCAACACTGTCAGATGAATGCACACGTCACAAAGCACTTTCTTAGAATGCTCTGTCTAGCTTTTATGTGAAGATATTTCCTTTTTCACCATAGGCTGCAAAGCGCTCCAAATATCCCTTTCAGATTCTACAGAAAGAGTGTTTCAAAACTGTTCAATCAAAAGAGAAATTCAACTCTGGTAATGAATGCACGCATCACAAAGCAGTTTCTCATAATGTTTCTGTCTAGTTTTTATGTGAAGATATTTCATTTTCCACTATAGGCCGTAATGCACTCCTAATATCCACTTGCAGATTCTACAGAAAGACTGTTTGCAAACTGCTCAAACAAAAGAAAAGTTCAACTCTGTGAGTTGAATGAGCACATCACAAAGAAGTTTCTCAGAATGCTTCTGTCTAGTTTTTATGTGAATATATTTCCTTTTCCACTATAGGCCGTAATGCGCTCCAAATATCCACCTGGAGATTCTACAAAAAGACTGTTTCCAAACTGCTCAATCAAAAGAAAAGCTCAACTCTGTGAGTGGAATGAGCACATCACAAAGAAGTTTCTCAGAATGCTTCTATCTAGTTTTTATGTGAATATATTTCCTTTTCCACCACAGGCCACAAACACTCCAAATATCCACTTGAAGTTTCTACAAAAAGAGTGCTTCAAAAATGCTCAATCAAAAGAAAGGTTCAACTCTTTGAGATGGATGCACACATCACAAAGAAGCTTTCTCAGAATGTTTCTGTCTAGTTTTTTTGTGAAGATATTTCCTTTTCCACCGTAGTCCTCAAGTCTCTCCAAATATCTACTTTCAGAATCTCCAAAAAGAGTGTTTTAAAACTGCTGTACCAAAGAAAGTTTCATGTCTGAGATATGACTGCATACAACACAGAGAAGTTTCTCAAAGTGCTTCTGTTTATTTTTTTTATGAAGATAATTCCTTTTCCACTATGGGCCACAGAGCGCTCCAAATATCGACTTGCAGATTCTACAAAAAGAGTGTTTCAAAACTGCTCAATCAATAGAAAGTTTGAAGTCTGTGAGATGAATGCACACACCACAAAGGAGTTTCTAAGAATGCTTCCATCTGAATTTTATGTGAGGATATTTCCTTTTTCACCATAGGCCTCAATACACTCCAAATATCCATTTACAGATAATACAAATGACTGTATCCAAACTGCTCAATCAAAAGAAAGTTCAACTGTGTATGATGAATGCACACATCACAAGGGTGTTTCTCAGAAAGTTTTTGTCTAGTTTTTAGGTGAAGATATTTCTTATTTCCCCAGAGGCCTCAATGGGCTCTCAAATATTCCCTTTCATATTCTACTAAATGACTGTATCGAAGCTGCTCAATCAAAAGAGGGGTTTAACAGTGTGAGACGAAAATACACCTTCCTAGGAAGTTTCTCAGAATTCTTCTTTCTAGTTTTTTATGTGAAGATATTTCCTTTTCCACTATAGGCCTCAAAGCGTTCCAAATATCCACTTGCAGATACTACAAATAGAGCGTTTCAAAACTGCTCAATCAAAGGAAAGGTTCAACTCTGTGAGATGAATGCAGACATCAAAAAGAAGTTTCTCAGAATGCTTCTGCCTTGTTTTTATGTGAAGATATTTCCTTTTTCACCATAGGCCTCAAAGCACTGGTAATATCCATTTGCAGATACTACAAAAAGACTGTTCCCAAACTGCTCAATAAAAAGAAAGTTTCAACTCTATGAGATAAAAGCAAATATCACAAAGAAGTTTCTCAGAAACTTTCTATCTAGTTTTTATGTGAACATATTTCTTATCACCCCATAGACCTCAATCGGCTCACAAGTATCCTTCTGCAGATTATGAAAAACTACTGTTTCCAAACCGCTCAATCACAGGAAAGGTTTAACTCTGTGAAATGAATGCATCCATCACAGAGAAGTTTCTCAGAATGCTTCCGTCTCGTTTCCATGTGAAGAATATTCCTTTTCCACCATATTCCTCATGCGCTCCAAATAAACACTTGCAGATTCCGCTAAAAGAGTGTTTCAAAACTGCTCAATCAAAAGAAAGGTTCTAGTCGGTGAGATGAATGCACACATCACAAAGCAGTTTCTATGAATGCTTCTGTCTGATTTATATTGAAGATATTTCCTTTTTCACCGTAGGCCTCAGAATGCTTAAAATATCCATTTGCAGATACTAGAAAAGACTGTTTCCAAACTGCTCAATCAAAGTAAAGTTCAACTCAGTGAGATGAATGCACACATCACCAAGACGTTTCTGAGAAAGATTCTGTCTCGTTTTTATGTGAAGATATTTCCTGTTTCCCCAGAGGCATCAATGGGCTCACAAATATTCCTTTGCATATTCTACAAAATGACTGTTTAGAAGGTGCTCAATCAAAAAAAAAGTTCAACAGTGTGAGATGAATGCGCCCATTCAAAGGAAGTTTCTCAGAATTCTTCTATCTAGTTTTTATGTGAAGATATTTCCTTTTTCACTATAGGCCACAAAGTGCTCCAAATATCCACTTGCAGACTCTACAAAACGAGTGTATCCACACTGCTCAATCAAAAGAAAATTTCAACTGTGTGAGATGAGTGCACACATCAAAATAAATTTCTCCAAAACTTCTGCCTACTTTTTATGGGAAGATATTTCGTTTTTCAACGTAGGCCAAAAGCACTCCAAATATCAATTTGCAGATTCTACAAAAAGACTGTTTCCAAACTGCTCAATCAAGAGAAAGTTTCAACCCGGTGAGTAGAAGTCACACATGACAAAATAGTTTCTCAGAAAGTAGCTGTCTAGTTTTTATGGGAAGAGATTTCCTTTTCCACCATAGGCCTCAAAGCTCTCCAAATAGCCATTTGCAGATACTGTAAAAAGACTGTTTCCAAACTGCTGAATCAAAAGAAAGGTTGAACTCCATGAGTTGAATGCACACGTCACAAAGAAGTTTCTCAGAATGCTTCTGACTAGTTTTTATGTGAAGATGTTTTCTTTTCCACCATAGGCCCCAAAGTGCTAAAAATATCCACTTGAAGATTCTACAAAAAGAGGGTTTCAAAACTGCTCAAACAAAAGAAAGGTTCAACTCTGTGACATGAATGCACACGTCACAAAGACGTTTCTCAGAATGCTTCTGTCTAGTTTTATGTAAAGATATTTCCTTTTCTACTATAGGCCACAAAGCATTCCAAATATCAACTTGCAGATTCTGCAGAAAGAGTTTTTCAAAGCTGCTCAGTCAAAAGACAAGTTCAACTCTTTGAGATGAATGCACACATCATGAAGTTCCTCAGAATGCTTCTATTTTTATGTGAAGATATATCCTTTTCTACCATAGACCACAAAACGCTCCAAATATCCCCTTGCAGTTTCTACGAAAAGAGTGTTTCCAAACGGCTCAATCAAAAGAAAGTTTCAACTCTGTGAGATGAATGCACACATCATTAAGAAGTTTCTCAGTAATTTTCTGTCTAGTTTTTATGTGAAGATATTTCCTTTCCTACTATAGGCCTGAAAGTGCTGCAAATATCCGTTTGCAGATACTGCAAAAAGACTGTTTCCACACTGCTCAATCAAAGGAAATGTCCAACTCTGTGAGTTGAATGCACGCATCTCAAAGAGATTACTTATAATGATCCTGTCTAGTTTTGATGTGAAGATATTTGCTTTTCCACCAGTGGCCTCAAACTCTCCAAATATCCAGTTGCAGATTCTACAATAAGAGTGTTTCAAAACTGCTCAATCAAAAGAAAGGTTCAACACTGTGAGATGAATGCACACGTCACAAAGCACTTTCTTAGAATGCTTCTGTCTAGCTTTTATGTGAAGATATTTCCTTTTTCACCATAGGCTGCAAAGCGCTCCAAATATCCCTTTCAGATTCTACAGAAAGAGTATTTCAAAACTGTTCAATCAAAAGAGAAACTCAACTCTGGTGATGAATGCACGCATCACAAAGCAGTTTCTCATAATGTTTCTGTCTAGTTTTTATGTGAAGATATTTCATTCTCCACTATAGGCTGTAATGCACTCCTAATATCCACTTGCAGATTCTACAAAAAGACTGTTTGCAAACTGCTCAAACAAAAGAAAAGTTCAACTCTGTGAGTTGAATGAGCACATCACAAAGAAGTTTCTCAGAATGCTTCTGTCTAGATTTTATGTGAATATATTTCCTTTTCCACTATAGGCCGTAATGCGCTCCAAATATCCACCTGCAGATTCTACAAAAAGACTGTTTCCAAACTGCTCAATCAAAAGAAAAGCTCAACTCTGTGAGTTGAATGAGCACATCACAAAGAAGTTTCTCAGAATGCTTCTATCTAGTTTTTATGTGAATATATTTCCTTTTCCACCACAGGCCACAAACACTCCAAATATCCACTTGAAGATTCTACAAAAAGAGTGCTTCAAAAATGCTCAATCAAAAGAAAGTTTCAACTCTTTGAGATGGATGCACACATCACAAAGAAGCTTCTCAGAATGTTTCTGTCTAGTTTTTCTGTGAAGATATTTCCTTTTCCACCGTAGTCCTCAAGTCTCTCCAAATATCTACTTTCAGAATCTCCAAAAAGAGTGTTTTAAAACTGCTGTACCAAAGAAATTTTCATGTCTGAGATATGACTGCATACAACACAGAGAAGTTTCTCAAAGTGCTTCTGTTTATTTTTTTTATGAAGATATTTCCTTTTCCACTATGGGCCACAGAGCGCTCCAAATATCCACTGGCAGATTCTACAAAAAGAGTGTTTCAAAACTGCTCAGTCAATAGAAAGTTTGAAGTCTGTGAGATGAATGCACACATCACATAGGAGTTTCTAAGAATGCTTCCATCTGAATTTTATGTGAGGATATTTCCTTTTTCACCATAGGCCTCAGTACACTCCAAATATCCATTTACAGATAATAGAAATGACTGTATCCAAACTGCTCAATCAAAAGAAAGTTCAACTGTGTATGATGAATGCACACATCACAAGGGTGTTTCTCAGAAAGTTTTTGTCTTGTTTTTAGGTGAAGATATTTCTTATTTCCCCAGAGGCCTCAATGGGCTCTCAAATATTCCCTTTCATATTCTACTAAATGACTGTATCGAAGCTGCTCAATCAAAAGACGGGTTTAACAGTGTGAGACGAAAATACACCTTCCTAGGAAGTTTCTCAGAATTCTTCTTTCTAGTTTTTTATGTGAAGATATTTCCTTTTCCACTATAGGCCTCAAAGCGTTCCAAATATCCACTTGCAGATACTACAAATAGAGCGTTTCAAAACTGCTCAATCAAAAGAAAGGTTCAACTCTGTGAGATGAATGCAGACATCAAAAAAACTTTCTCAGAATGCTTCCGCCTTGTTTTTATGTGAAGATATTTCCTTTTTCACCATAGGCCTCAAAGCACTGGTAATATCCATTTGCAGATATTACAAAAAGACTGTTCCCAAACTGCTCAATAAAAAGAAAGTTTCAACTCTAGGAGATAAAAGCAAATATCACAAAGAAGTTTCTCAGAAACTTTCTATCTAGTTTTTATGTGAACATATTTCTTATCACCCCATAGACCTCAATCGGCTCACAAGTATCCTTCTGCAGATTATAAAAATCTACTGTTTCCAAACCGCTCAATCACAGGAAAGGTTTAACTCTGTGAAATGAATGCATCCATCACAGAGAAGTTTCTCAGAATGCTTCCGTCTCGTTTTTATGTGAAGAAGATTCCTTTTCCACCATATTCCTCATGCGCTCCAAAGAAACACTTGCAGATTCCGCTAAAAGAGTGTTTCAAAACTGCTCAATCAAAAGACAGGTTCTAGTCGGTGAGATGAATGCACACATCACAAAGACGTTTCTATGAATGCTTCTGTCTGATTTATATTGAAGATATTTCCTTTTTCACCGTAGGCCTCAGAGTGCTTAAAATATCCATTTGCAGATACTAGAAAAGACTGTTTCCAAACTGCTCAATCAAATTAAAGTTCAACTCAGTGAGATGAATGCACACATCACCAAGACGTTTCTGAGAAAGATTCTGTCTCGTTTTTATGTGAAGATATTTCCTGTTTCCCCAGAGGCATCAATGGGCTCACAAATATTCCTTTGCAGATTCTACAAAATGACTCTTTAGAAGGTGCTCAATCAAAAAAAAAGTTCAACAGTGTGAGATGAATGCGCCCATTCAAAGGAAGTTTCTCAGAATTCTTCTATCTAGTTTTTATGTGAAGATATTTCCTTTTTCACTATAGGCCACAAAGTGCTCCAAATATCCACTTGCAGACTCTACGAAACGAGTGTATCCACACTGCTCAATCAAAAGAAAATTTCAACTGTGTGAGATGAATGCACACATCAAAATAAATTTCTCCAAAACTTCTGCCTACTTTTTATGGGAAGATATTTAGTTTTTCAACGTAGGCCAAAAGCACTCCAAATATCAATTTGCAGATTCTACAAAAAGACTGTTTCCAAACTGCTCAATCAACAGAAAGTTTCAACCCGGTGAGTAGAAGTCACACATGACAAAATAGTTTCTCAGAAAGTATCTGCCTACTTTTTATGGGAAGATATTTCGTTTTTCAACGTAGGTCAAAAGCACTCCAAATATCAATTTGCAGATTCTACAAAACGACAGTTTCAAAACTGCTGAATCAAAAGAAAGGTTCAACTCTGTGAGATGAATGCACAGATCACAAATAAGTTTCTCAGAATGCTGCTGTCTAGTTTTTATGGGAAGATATTTCCTTTTCCACCATAGGCCTCAAAGCTCTCCAAATAGCCATTTGCAGATACTGTAAAAAGACTGTTTCCAAACTGCTGAATCAAAAGAAAGGTTGAACTCCATGAGTTGAATGCACACGTCACAAAAATTTCCCAGAATGCTTCTGACTAGTTTTTATGTGAAGATATTTTCTTTTCCACCATAGGCCTCAAAGCGCTGAAAATATCCACTTGAAGATTCTACAGAAAGAGAGTTTCAAAACTGCTCAAACAAAAGAAAGATTCAACTCTGTGAGATGAATGCACACATCACAAAGAAGTTTCTCAGAATGCTTCTGTCTAGTTTTATGTGAATATATTTCCTTTTCCACTGTAGGCCTCAAAGCACTCCAAATATCAACGTGCAGATTCTGCAGAAAGAGTTTTTCAAGCTCTCAATCAAAAGAAAAGTTCAACTCTGTGAGACGAATGCACACATCATTAAGAAGTTCCTCAGAATGCTTCTGTCTATTTTTTATGTGAAGATATATCCTTTTCTACCAAAGACCGCAAAGTGCTCCAAATATCCCCTTGCAGTTTCTACTAAAAGAGTGTTTCCAAACTGCTCAATCAAAAGAAAGTTTCAACTCTGTGAGATGAATGCACACATCACTAACAAGTTTCTCAGTAATTTTCTGTATGGTTTTTATGTGAAGATATTTCCTTTCCTACTATAGGCCTGAAAGTGCTCCAAATATCCGTTTGCAGATACTGCAAAAAGACTGTTTCCAAACTGCTCAATCAAAGGAAATGTCCAACTCTGTGAGTTGAATGCACGCATCTCAAAGAGATTACTTATAATGATTCTGACTAGTTTTGATGTGAAGATATTTGCTTTTCCACCAGTGGCCTCAAACTCTCCAAATATCCACTTGCAGATTCTACAATAAGAGTGTTTCAAAACTGCTCAATCAAAAGAAAGGTTCAACACTGTGAGATGAATGCACACGTCACAAAGCACTTTCTTAAAATGCTTCTGTCTAGCTTTTATGTGAAGATATTTCCTTTTTCACCATAGGCTGCAAAGCGCTCCAAATATCCCTTTCAGATTCTACAGAAAGAGTGTTTCAAAACTGTTCAATCAAAAGAGAAACTCAACTCTGGTGATGAATGCACGCATCACAAAGCAGTTTCTCATAATGTTTCTGTCTAGTTTTTATGTGAAGTTATTTCATTTTCCACTATAGGCCGTAATGCACTCCTAATATCCACTTGCAGATTCTACAGAAAGACTGTTTGCAAACTGCTCAAACAAAAGAAAAGTTCAACTCTGTGAGTTGAATGAGCACATCACAAAGAAGTTTCTCAGAATGTTTCTGTCTAGTTTTTATGTGAATATATTTCCTTTTCCACTATAGGCCGTAATGTGCTCCAAATATCCACCTGCAGATTCTACAAAAAGACTGTTTCCAAAGTGCTCAATCAAAAGAAAAGTTCAACTCTGTGAGATGAATGAGCACATCACAAAGAAGCTTCTCAGAATGTTTCTATCTAGTTTTTATGTGAATATATTTCCTTTTCCACCACAGGCCACAAACACTCCAAATATCCACTTGAAGTTTCTACAAAAAGAGTGCTTCAAAAATGCTCAATCAAAAGAAAGGTTCAACTCTTTGAGATGGATGCACACATCACAAAGAAGCTTCTCAGAATGTTTCTGTCTAGTTTTTTTGTGAAGATATTTCCTTTTCCACCGTAGTCCTCAAGTCTCTCCAAATATCTACTTTCAGAATCTCCAAAAAGAGTGTTTTAAAACTGCGGTACCAAAGAAAGTTTCATGTCTGAAATATGACTGCATACAACACAGAGAAGTTTCTCAAAGTGCTTCTGTTTATTTTTCTTATGAAGATATTTCCTTTTCCACTATGGGCCACAGAGCGCTCCAAATATCCACTGGCAGATTCTACAAAAAGAGTGTTTCAAAACTGCTCAATCAATAGAAAGTTTGAAGTCTGTGAGATGAATGTACACATCACAAAGGAGTTTCTAAGAATGCTTCCATCTGAATTTTATGTGAGGATATTTCCTTTTTCACCATAGGCCTCAGTACACTCCAAATATCCATTTACAGATAATACAAATGACTGTATCCAAACTGCTCAATCAAAAGAACGTTCCACTGTGTATGATGAATGCACACATCACAAGGGTGTTTCTCAGAAAGTTTTTGTCTAGTTTTTAGGTGAAGATATTTCTTATTTCCCCAGAGGCCTCAATGGGCTCTCAAATATTCCCTTTCATATTCTACTAAATGGCTGTATCGAAGCTGCTCAATCAAAAGACGGGTTTAACAGTGTGAGACGAAAATACACCTTCCTAGGAAGTTTCTCAGAATTCTTCTTTCTAGGTTTTTATGTGAAGATATTTCGTTTTCCACTATAGGCCTCAAAGCGTTCCAAATATCCACTTGCAGATCCTACAAATAGAGCCTTTCAAAACTGCTCAATCAAAAGAAAGGTTCAACTCTGTGAGATGAATGCAGACATCAAAAAGAAGTTTCTCAGAATGCTTCCGCCTTGTTTTTATGTGAAGATATTTCCTTTTTCACCATAGGCCTCAAAGCACTGGTAATATCCATTTGCAGATACTACAAAAAGACTGTTCCCAAACTGCTCAATAAAAAGAAATTTTCAACTCTATGAGATAAAAGCTAATATCACAAAGAAGTTTCTCAGAAACTTTCTATCTGGTTTTTATGTGAACATATTTCCTATCGCCCCATAGGCCTCAATCGGCTCACAAATATCCTTCTGCAGCTTATACAAAACGACTGTTTCCAAACCATTCAATCACAGGAAGGGTTCAACTCTGTGAAATGAATGCACCCATCACAGAAAAATTTCTCAGAATGCTTCCGTCTCGTTTTTATGTGAAGAAGATTCCTTTTCCACCATATTCCTCATGTGCTCCAAATAAACACTTGCAGATTCCGCTAAAAGAGTGTTTCAAAACTGCTCAATCAAAAGAAAGGTTCTAGTCGGTGAGATGAATGCACACATCACAAAGAAGTTTCTATGAATGCTTCTGTCTGATTTATATTGAAGATATTTCCTTTTTCACCGTAGGCCTCAGAGTGCTTAAAATATCCATTTGCAGATACTAGAAAAGACTGTTTCCAAACTGCTCAATCAAAATAAAGTTCAACTCAGTGAGATGAATGCACACATCACCAAGACGTTTCTGAGAAAGATTATCTGTCTAGTTTTTATGTGAAGATATTTCCTAATTCCCCAGTGGCATCAATGGGCTCACAAATATTCCTTTGCATATTCTACAAAATGACTGTTTAGAAGGTGCTCAGTCAAAAAAAAAAAGTGCAACACTGTGAGATGAACGTGCACATTCAAAGGAAGTTTCTCAGAATTCTTCTATCTAGTTTTTATGTGAAGATATTTCCTTTTTCACTGTAGGCCAGAAAGTGCTCCAAATATCCACTTGCAGACTCTACAAAACGAATGTATCCACACTGCTCAATCAAAAGAAAATTTCAACTGTGCGAGATGAATGCACACATCAAAATAAATTTCTCCAAAACTTCTGCCTACTTTTTATGGGAAGATATTTCGTTTTTCAACGTAGGCCAAAAGCGCTCCAAATATCAATTTGCAGATTCTACAAAAAGACTGTTTCCAAACTGCTCAATCAACAGAAAGTTTCAACCCGGTGAGTAGAAGTCACACATGACAAAATAGTTTCTCAGAAAGTAGCTGTCTAGTTTTTATGGGAAGAGATTTCCTTTTCCACCATAGGCCTCAAAGCTCTCCAAATATCCATTTGCAGATACTGTAAAAAGACTGTTTCCAAACTGCTGAATCAAAAGAAAGGTTGAACTCCATGAGTTGAATGCACACGTCACAAAGAAGTTTCTCAGAATGCTTCTGACTACTTTTTATGTGAAGATATTTTCTTTTCCACCATAGGCCTCAAAGCGCTGAAAATATCCACTTGAAGATTCTACAGAAAGAGAGTTTCAAAACTGCTCAAACAAAAGAAAGATTCAACTCTGTGAGATGAATGCACACATCACAAAGAAGTTTCTCAGAATGCTTCTGTCTAGTTTTAAGTAAAGATATTTCCTTTTCTACTATAGGTCACAAAGCACTCCAAATATCAACTTGCAGATTCTGCAGAAAGAGTTTTTCAAAGCTACTCAATCAAAAGAAAAGTTCAACTCTTTGAGATGAATGCACACATCATGAAGTTCCTCAAAATGCTTCTATTTTTATGTGAAGATATATCCTTTTCTACCATAGACCACAAAATGCTCCAAATATCTCCTTGCAGTTTCTACTAAAAGAGTGTTTCCAAACGGCTCAATCAAAAGAAAGTTTCAACTCTGTGAGATGAATGCACACATCATTAAGAAGTTTCTCAGTAATTTTCTGTCTAGTTTTTATGTGAAGATATTTCCTTTCCTACTATAGGCCTGAAAGTGCTCCAAATATCCATTTGCATATACTGCAAAAAGACTGTTTCCAAACTGCTCAATCAAAGGAAAGGTCCAACTCTGTGAGTTGAATGCACGCATCTCAAAGAGATTTCTCAGAATGGTTCTGTCTAGTTTTTATGTGAAGATATTTGCTTTTCCACCAGTGGCCTCAAACTCTCCAAATATCCACTTGCAGATTGTACAATAAGAGTGTTTCAAAACTGCTCAATCAAAAGAAAGGTTTAACTCTGTGAGATGAATGTACACCTCACAAAGCACTTTCTCAGAATGCATCTGTCTAGTTTTTATGTGAAGATATTTCGTTTTTCACCATAGGCCGCAAGGCGTTCCAAATATCCCCTTCAGATTCTACAGAAAGAGTGTTTCAAAACTGTTCAATCAAAAGAAAGGTTCAACCCTGGTGATGAATGCACGCATCACAGAGCAGTTTCTCATAATGTTTCTGTCTAGTTTTTATGTGAAGATATTTCATTCTCCACTATAGGCCGTAATGCACTCCTAATATCCACTTGCAGATTCTACAAAAAGACTGTTTGCAAACTGCTCAAACAAAAGAAAAGATCAACTCTGTGAGTTGAATGAGCACATCACAAAGAGGTTTCTCTGAATGCTTCTGTCTAGTTTTTATGTGAATATATTTCCTTTTCCACTATAGGCCGTAATGCGCTCCAAATATCCACCTGCAGATTCTACAGAAAGACTGTTTCCAAACTGCTCAATCAAAAGAAAAGCTCAACTCTGTGAGTTGAATGAGCACATCACAAAGAAGTTTCTCAGAATGCTTCTATCTAGTTTTTATGTGAATATATTTCCTTTTCCACCACAGGCCACAAACACTCCAAATATCCACTTGAAGATTCTACAAAAAGAGTGCTTCAAAAATGGTCAATCAAAAGAAAGGTTCAACTCTTTGAGATGGATGCACACATCACAAAGAAGCTTCTCAGAATGTTTCTGTCTAGTTTTTTTGTGAAGATATTTCCTTTTCCACCGTAGTCCTCAAGTCTCTCCAAATATCTACTTTCAGAATCTCCAAAAAGAGTGTTTCAAAACTGCTGTACCAAAGAAAGTTTCATGTCTGATTTATGACTGCATACAACACAGAGAACTTTCTCAAAGTGCTTCTGTTTATTTTTTTTATGAAGATATTTCCTTTTCCACTATGGGCCACAGAGCGCTCCAAATATCCACTGGCAGATTCTACAAAAAGAGTGTTTCAAAACTGCTCAATCAATAGAAAGTTTGAAGTCTGTGAGATGAATGCACACATCACATAGGAGTTTCTAAGAATGCTTCCATCTGAATTTTATGTGAGGATATTTCCTTTTTCACCATAGGCCTCAGTACACTCCAAATATCCATTTACAGATAATACAAATGACTGTATCCAAACTGCTCAATCAAAAGAAAGTTCAACTTTGTATGATGAATGCACACATCACAAGGGTGTTTCTCAGAAAGTTTTTGTCTAGTTTTTAGGTGAAGATATTTCTTATTTCCCCAGAGGCCTCAATGGGCTCTCAAATATACCCTTTCATATTCTACTAAATGGCTGTATCGAAGCTGCTCAATCAAAAGACGGGTTTAACAGTGTGAGACGAAAATACACCTTCCTAGGAAGTTTCTCAGAATTCTTCTTTCTAGTTTTTTATGTGAAGATATTTCCTTTTCCACTATAGGCCTCAAAGCGTTCCAAATATCCACTTGCAGATACTACAAATAGAGCGTTTCAAAACTGCTCAATCAAAAGAAAGTTTCAACACTGCGAGATGAATGCAGACATGAAAAAGAAGCTTCTCAGAATGCTTCTGCCTTGTTTTTATGTGAAGATATTTCCTTTTTCACCATAGGCCTCAAAGCACTGGTAATATCCATTTGCAGATACTACAAAAAGACTGTTCCCAAACTGCTCAATAAAAAGAAAGTTTCAACTCTAGGAGATAAAAGCAAATATCACAAAGAAGTTTCTCAGAAACTTTCTATCTAGTTTTTATGTGAACATATTTCTTATCACCCCATAGACCTCAATCGGCTCACAAGTATCCTTCTGCAGATTGTAAAAAAATACTGTTTCCAAACCGCTCAATCACAGGAAAGGTTTAACTCTGTGAAATGAATGCATCCATCACAGAGAAGTTTCTCAGAATGCTTCCGTCTCGTTTTCATGTGAAGAAGATTCCTTTTCCACCATATTCCTCATGCGCTCCAAATAAACACTTGCAGATTCCGCTAAAAGAGTGTTTCAAAACTGCTCAATCAAAAGAAAGGTTCTAGTCGGTGAGATGAATGCACACATCACAAAGAAGTTTCTATGAATGCTTCTGTCTGATTTATATTGAAGATATTTCCTTTTTCACCGTAGGCCTCAGAGTGCTTAAAATATCCATTTGCAGATACTAGAAAAGACTGTTTCCAAACTGCTCAATCAAAATAAAGTTCAACTCAGTGAGATGAATGCACACATCACCAAGACGTTTCTGAGAAAGATTCTGTCTCGTTTTTATGTGAAGATATTTCCTGTTTCCCCAGAAGCATCAATGGGCTCACAAATATTCCTTTGCATATTCTACAAAATGACTGTTTAGAAGGTGCTCAATCAAAAAAAAAGTTCAACAGTGTGAGATGAATGCGCCCACTCAAAGGAAGTTTCTCAGAATTCTTCTATCTAGTTTTTATGTGAAGATATTTCCTTTTTCTCTATAGGCCACAAAGTGCTCCAAATATCCACTTGCAGACTCTACAAAACGAGTGTATCCACACTGCTCAATCAAAAGAAAATTTCAACTGTGTGAGATGAGTGCACACATCAAAATAAATTTCTCCAAAACTTCTGCCTACTTTTTATGGGAAGATATTTCGTTTTTCAACGTAGGCCAAAAGCACTCCAAATATCAATTTGCAGATTCTACAAAAAGACTGTTTCCAAACTGCTCAATCAACAGAAAGTTTCAACCCGGTGAGTAGAAGTCACACATGACAAAATAGTTTCTCAGAAAGTAGCTGTCTAGTTTTTATGAGAAGAGATTTCCTTTTCCACCATAGGCGTCAAAGCTCTCCAAATAGCCATTTGCAGATACTGTAAAAAGACTGTTTCCAAACTGCTGAATCAAAAGAAAGGTTGAACTCCATGAGTTGAATGCACACGTCACAAAGAAGTTTCTCAGAATGCTTCTGACTAGTTTTTATGTGAAGATATTTTCTTTTCCACCGTAGGCCTCAAAGCGCTGAAAATATCCACTTGAAGATTCTACCAAAAGAGAGTTTCAAAACTGCTCAAACAAAAGAAAGATTGAACTCTGTGAGATGAATGCACACATCACAAAGAAGTTTCTCAGAATGCTTCTGTCTAGTTTTATGTAAAGATATTTCCTTTTCTACTATAGGCCACAAAGCACCCCAAATATCAACTTGCAGATTCTGCAGAAAGAGTTTTTCAAAGCTGCTCAATCAAAAGAAAAGTTCAACTCTTTGAGATGAATGTACACATCAGGAAGTTCCTCAGAATGCTTCTATTTTTATGTGAAGATATATCCTTTTCTACCATAGACCACAAAACGCTCCAAATATCCCCTTGCAGTTTCTACTAAAAGAGTGTTTCCAAACGGCTCAATCAAAAGAAAGTTTCAACTCTGTGAGATGAATGCACACATCATTAAGAAGTTTCTCAGTAATTTTCTGTCTAGTTTTTATGTGAAGATATTTCCTTTCCTACTATAGGCCTGAAAGTGCTCCAAATATCCGTTTGCAGATACTGCAAAAAGACTGTTTCCAAACTGCTCAATCAAAGGAAATGTCCAACTCTGTGAGTTGAATGCACGCATCTCAAAGAGATTACTTATAATGATTCTCTCTAGTTTTTATGTGAAGATATTTGCTTTTCCACCAGTGGCCTCAAACTCTCCAAATATCCACTTGCAGATTGTACAATAAGAGTGTTTCAAAACTGCTCAATCCAAAGAAAGGTTTAACTCTGTGAGATGAATGCACACATCACAAACCACCTTCTCAGAATGCTTCTGTCTAGCTTATATGTGAAGATATTTCTTTTTCACCATAGGCTGCAAAGCGCTCCAAATATCCCTTTCAGATTCTACAGAAAGAGTGTTTCAAAACTGTTCAATCAAAAGAGAAATTCAACTCTGGTGATGAATGCACGCATCACAAAGCAGTTTCTCATAATGTTTCTGTCTAGTTTTTATGTGAAGATATTTCATTTTCCACTATAGGCCGTAATGCACTCCTAATATCCACTTGCAGATTCTACAAAAAGACTGTTTCCAAACTGCTCAAACAGAAGAAAAGTTCAACTCTGTGAGTTGAATGAGCACATCACGAAGAAGTTTCTCAGAATGCTTCTGTCTAGTTTTTATGTGAATATATTTCCTTTTCCACTATAGGCCGTCATGCGCTCCAAATATCCACTTGCAGATTCTACAAAAAGACTGTTTCCAAACTGCTCAATCAAAAGAAAAGCTCAACTCTGTGAGTTGAATGAGGACATCACAAAGAAGTTTCTCAGAATGCTTCTATCTAGTTTTTATGTGAATATATTTCCTTTTCCACCACAGGCCACAAACACTCCAAATATCCACTTGAAGTTTCTACAAAAAGAGTGCTTCAAAAATGCTCAATGAAAAGAAAGGTTCAACTCTTTGAGATGGATGCACACATCACAAAGAAGCTTCTCAGAATGTTCCTGTCTAGTTTTTTTGTGAAGATATTTCCTTTTCCACCGTAGTCCTCAAGTCTCTCCAAATATCTACTTTCAGAATCTCCAAAAAGAGTGTTTTAAAACTGCTGTACCAAAGACATTTTCATGTCTGAGATATGACTGCATACAACACAGAGAAGTTTCTCAAAGTGCTTCTGTTTATTTTTTTTATGAAGATATTTCCTTTTCCACTATTGGCCACAGAGCGCTCCAAATATCCACTGGCAGATTCTACAAAAAGAGTGTTTCAAAACTGCTCAATCAATAGAAAGTTTGAAGTCTGTGAGATGAATGCACACATCACAAAGGAGTTTCTAAGAATGCTTCCATCTGAATTTTATGTGAGGATATTTCCTTTTTCACCATAGGCCTCAGTACACTCCAAATACCCATTTACAGATAATACAAATGACTGTATCCAAACTGCTCAATCAAAAGAAAGTTCAACTGTGTATGATGAATGCACACAACACAAGGGTATTTCTCAGAAAGTTTTTGTCTAGTTTTTAGGTGAAGATATTTCTTATTTCCCCAGAGGCCTCAATGGGCTCTCAAATATTCCCTTTCATATTCTACTAAATGACTGTATCAAAGCTGCTCAATCAAAAGACAGGTTTAACAGTGTGAGACGAAAATACACCTTCCTAGGAAGTTTCTCAGAATTCTTCTTTCTAGTTTTTTATGTGAAGATATTTCCTTTTCCACTATAGGCCTCAAAGCGTTCCAAATATCCACTTGCAGATACTACAAATAGAGCTTCTCAAAACTGCTCAATCAAAAGAAAGGTTCAACTCTGAGAGATGAATGCAGACATCAAATATAAGTTTCTCAGAATGCTTCCGCCTTGTTTTTATGTGAAGATATTTCCTTTTTCACCATAGGCCTCAAAGCACTGGTAATATCCATTTGCAGATACTACAAAAAGACTGTTCCCAAACTGCTCAATAAAAAGAAAGTTTCAACTCTAGGAGATAAAAGCAAATATCACAAAGAAGTTTCTCAGAAACTTTCTATCTAGTTTTTATGTGAACATATTTCTTATCACCCCATAGACCTCAATCGGCTCACAAGTATCCTTCTGCAGATTGTAAAAAACTACTGTTTCCAAACCGCTCAATCACAGGAAAGTTTTAACTCTGTGAAATGAATGCATCCATCACAGAGAAGTTTCTCAGAATGCTTCCGTCTCGTTTTCATGTGAAGAAGATTCCTTTTCCACCATATTCCTCATGCGCTCCAAATAAACACTTGCAGATTCCGCTAAAAGAGTGTTTCAAAACTGCTCAACCAAAAGAAAGGTTCTAGTCGGTGAGATGAATGCACACATCACAAAGAAGTTTCTATGAATGCTTCTGTCTGATTTATATTGAAGATATTTCCTTTTTCACCGTAGGCCTCAGAGTGCTTAAAATATCCATTTGCAGATACTAGAAAAGACTGTTTCCAAACTGCTCAATCAAAGTAAAGTTCAACTCAGTGAGATGAATGCACACATCACAAAGACGTTTCTGAGAAAGATTCTGTCTAGTTTTTATTTGAAGATATTTCCTATTTCCCCAGAGGCATCAATGGGCTCACAAATATTCCTTTGCATATTCTACAAAATGACTGTTTAGAAGCTGCTCAATCAAGAAAAAAGTTCAACACTGTGAGATGAATGCACACATTCAAAGGAAGTTTCTCAGAATTCTTCTATCTAGTTTTTATGTGAAGATATTTCCTTTTTCACTATAGGCCACAAAGTGCTCCAAATATCCACTTGCAGACTCTACAAAACGAGTGTATCCACACTGCTCAATCAAAAGAAAATTTCAACTGTGTGAGATGAATGCACACATCAAAATAAATTTCTCCAAAACTTCTGCCTACTTTTTATGGGAAGATATTTCGTTTTTCAACGTAGGCCAAAAGCACTCCAAATATCAATTTGCAGATTCTACAAAAAGACTGTTTCCAAACTGCTCAATCAAGAGAAAGTTTCAACCCGGTGAGTAGAAGTCACACATGACAAAATAGTTTCTCAGAAATTATCTGTCTAGTTTTTACGTGAAGATATTTCCTATCACCCCAGAAGCCTCAATGGGCTCACAAATATTCCTTTGCAGATTCTACAAAAAGGCAGTTTCAAAACTGCTGAATCAAAAGAAAGGTTCAACTCTGGGAGATGAATGCACAGATCACAAATAAGTTTCTCAGAATGCTGCTGCCTAGTTTTAATGGGAAGAGATTTCCTTTTCCACCATAGGCCTCAAAGCTCTCCAAATAGCCATTTGCAGATACTGTAAAAAGACTGTTTCCAAACTGCTGAATCAAAAGAAAGGTTGAACTCCATGAGTTGAATGCACACGTCATAAAGAAGTTTCTCAGAATGGTTCTGACTAGTTTTTATGGGAAGATATTTTCTTTTCCAAGATAGGCCTCAAAGCGCTGAAAATATCCACTTGAAGATTCTACAGAAAGAGAGTTTCAAAACTGCTCAAACAAAAGAAAGATTCAACTCTGTGAGATGAATGCACACATCACAAAGAAGTTTCTCAGAATACTTCTGTCTAGTTTTAAGTAAAGATATTTCCTTTTCTACTATAGGCCACAAAGCGCTCCAAATATCAACTTGCAGATTCTGCAGAAAGGGTTTTTCAAAGCTGCTCAATCAAAAGAAAATTTCAACTCTTTGAGATGAATGCACACATCAGGAAGTTCCTCAGAATGCTTCTGTCTATTTTTAATGTGAAGATATATCCTTTTCTACCAAAGACCACAAAGTGCTCCAAATATCCCCTTGCAGTTTCTACTAAAAGAGTGTTTCCAAACTGCTCAATCAAAAGAAAGTTTCAACTCTGTGAGATGAATGCACACATCACTGAGAAATTTCTCAGTAATTTTCTGTCTAGTTTTTATGTGAAGATATTTCCTTTCCTACTATAGGCCTGAAAGTGCTCCAAATATCCGCTTGCAGATACTGCAAAAAGACTGTTTCCAAACTGCTCAATCAAAGGAAATGTCCAACTCTGTGAGTTGAATGCACGCATCTCAAAGAGATTACTTATAATGATTCTGTCTGGTTTTGATGTGAAGATATTTGCTTTTCCACCAGTGGCCTCAAACTCTCCAAATATCCACTTGCAGATTCTACAATAAGAGTGTTTCAAAACTGCTCAATCAAAAGAAAGGTTCAACACTGTGAGATGAATGCACACGTCACAAAGCACTTTCTTAGAATGCTTCTGTCTAGCTTTTATGTGAAGATATTTCCTTTTTCACCATAGGCTGCAAAGCGCTCCAAATATCCCTTTCAGATTCTACAGAAAGAGTGTTTCAAAACTGTTCAATCAAAAGAGAAACTCAACTCTGGTGATGAATGCACGCATCACAAAGCAGTTTCTCATCATGTTTCTGTCTATTTTTTATGTGAAGTTATTTCATTTTCCACTATAGGCCGTAATGCACTCCTAATATCCACTTGCAGATTCTACAAAAAGACTGTTTGCAAACTGCTCAAACAAAAGAAAAGTTCAACTCTGTGAGTTGAATGAGCACATCACAAAGAAGTTTCTCAGAATGCTTCTGTCTAGTTTTTATGTGAATATATTTCCTTTTCCACTATAGGCCGTCATGCGCTCCAAATATCCACTTGCAGATTCTACAAAAAGACTGTTTCCAAACTGCTCAATCAAAAGAAAAGCTCAACTCTGTGAGTTGAATGAGCACATCACAAAGAAGTTTCTCAGAATGCTTCTATCTAGTTTTTATGTGAATATATTTCCTTTTCCACCAGAGGCCACAAACACTCCAAATAACCACTTGAAGATTCTACAAAAAAAGTGCTTCAAAAATGCTCAATCAAAAGAAAGGTTCAACTCTTCGAGATGGACGCACACATCACAAAGAAGCTTCTCAGAATGTTTCTGTCTAGTTTTTTTGTGAAGATGTTTCCTTTTCCACCGTAGTCCTCAAGTCTCTCCAAATATCTACTTTCAGAATCTCCAAAAAGAGTGTTTTAAAACTGCTGTACCAAAGAAATTTTCATGTCTGAGATATGACTGCATACAACACAGAGAAGTTTCTCAAAGTGCTTCTGTTTATTTTTTTTATGAAGATATTTCCTTTTCCACTATGGGCCACAGAGCGCTCCAAATATCCACTTGCAGATTCTACAAAAAGAGTGTTTCAAACCTGCTCAATCAAAAGGAAGATTTTACTCTATGAGATGAATGGACACATCACAGAGAAGTTTCTCAATATGCTTCCATCTGAATTTTATGTGAGGATATTTCCTTTTTCACCATAGGCCTCAGTACACTCCAAATACCCATTTACAGATAATACAAATGACTGTATCCAAACTGCTCAATCAAAAGAAAGTTCAACTGTGTATGATGAATGCACACAACACAAGGGTGTTTCTCAGAAAGTTTTTGTCTAGTTTTTAGGTGAAGATATTTCCTACTTTCCAAGAGGCCTCAATGGGCTCGCAAATATTCTCTTTCAGATTCTACTAAATGACTGTATCGAAGCTGCTCAATCAAAAGAAAGGTTCAACAGTGTGAGAAGAAAGCACACATTCCTAGGAAGTTTCTCAGAACTCTGCTGTCTAGTTTTTATTGGAAGATGTGTCCTTTTCCCCCATAGGCCTGAAAGTGCCCCAAATATCCACTTGCAGATTGTACAAAAAGACTGTTTCAAAACTGCTCAATCAAAAGAAAAGTTCAAATCTGTGAGATGAAAGCACACATCAGAAAGAAGTTTCTCAGAAAGTTTCTGCCTTGTATTTATGGGAAGATATTTCCTTTTTCACCATAGGTCTCAAAGCACTGGTAATATCCATTTCCAGATACTACAAAAAGACTTTTCCCAAACTGCTCAATCAAAAGAAAGTTTTAACTCTGTGAGATGAAAGCAAATATCACAAAGAAGTGTCTCAGAAATTTTCTATCTAGTTTTTATGTGAACATATTTCTTATCACCCCATAGACCTCAATCAGCTCACAAGTATCCTTCTGCAGATTGTAAAAAACTACTGTTTCCAAACCGCTCAATCACAGGAAAGGTTTAACTCTGTGAAATGAATGCATCCATCACAGAGAAGTTTCTCAGAATGCTTCCGTCTCGTTTTTATGTGAAGAAGATTCCTTTTCCACCATATTCCTCATGCGCTCCAAATAAACACTTGCAGATTCCGCTAAAAGAGTGTTTCAAAACTGCTCAATGAAAAGAAAGGTTCTAGTCGGTGAGATGTATGCACACATCACAAAGAAGTTTCTATGAATGCTTCTGTCTGATTTATATTGAAGATATTTCCTTTTTCACCGTAGGCCTTAGAGTGCTTAAAATATCCATTTGCAGATACTAGAAAAGACTGTTTCCAAACTGCTCAATCAAATTAAAGTTCAACTCAGTGAGATGAATGCACACATCACCAAGACGTTTCTGATAAAGATTCTGTCTCGTTTTTATGTGAAGATATTTCCTGTTTCCCCAGAGGCATCAATGGGCTCACAAATATTCCTTTGCATATTCTACAAAATGACTGTTTAGAAGGTGCTGAATCAAAAAAAAAGTTCAACAGTGTGAGATGAATGCGCCCATTCAACGGAAGTTTCTCAGAATTCTTCTATCTAGTTTTTATGTGAAGATATTTCCTTTTTCACTGTAGGCCACAAAGTGCTCCAAATATCCACTTGCAGACTCTACAAAACGAATGTATCCACACTGCTCAATCAAAAGAAAATTTCAACTGTGCGAGATGAATGCACACATCAAAATAAATTTCTCCAAAACTTCTGCCTACTTTTTATGGGAAGATATTTCGTTTTTCAACGTAGGCCAAAAGCACTCCAAATATCAATTTGCAGATTCTACAAAAAGACTGTTTCCAAACTGCTCAATCAAGAGAAAGTTTCAACCCGGTGAGTAGAAGTCACACACGACAAAATAGTTTCTCAGAAAGTAGCTGTCTAGTTTTTATGAGAAGAGATTTCCTTTTCCACCATAGGTGTCAAAGCTCTCCAAATAGCCATTTGCAGATACTGTAAAAAGACTGTTTCCAAACTGCTGAATCAAAAGAAAGGTTGAACTCCATGAGTTGAATGCACACGTCACAAAGAAGTTTCTCAGAATGCTTCTGACTAGTTTTTATGTGAAGACATTTTCTTTTCCACCATAGGCCTCAAAGTGCTAAAAATATACACTTGAAGATTCTACAAAAAGAGAGTTTCAAAACTGCTCAAACAAAAGAAAGTTTCAACTCTGTGACATGAGTGCACACATCACAAAGAAGTTTCTCAGAATGCTTCTGTCTAGTTTTAAGTAAAGATATTTCCTTTTCTACTATAGGCCACAAAGCGCTCCAAATATCAACTTGCAGATTCTGCAGAAAGGGTTTTTCAAAGCTGCTCAATCAAAAGAAAAGTTCAACTCTTTGAGATGAATGCACACATCAGGAAGTTCCTCAGAATGCTTCTATTTTTATGTGAAGATATATCCTTTTCTACCATAGACCACAAAACGCTCCAAATATCCCCTTGCAGTTTCTACTAAAATAGTGTTTCCAAACGGCTCAATCAAAAGAAAGTTTCAACTTTGTGAGATGAATGCACACATCACAAAGAAGTTTCTCAGAATGCTTCTGTCTAGTTTTTATGTGAAGATATTTCCTTTCCTACTATAGGCCTGAAAGTGCTCCAAATATCCGCTTGCAGATACTGCAAAAAGACTGTTTCCAAACTGCTCAATCAAAGGAAACGTCCAACTCTGTGAGTTGAATGCACGCATCTCAAAGAGATTACTTATAATGATTCTGTCTAGTTTTGATGTGAAGATATTTGCTTTTCCACCAGTGGCCTCAAACTCTCCAAATATCCACTTGCAGATTCTACAATAAGAGTGTTTCAAAACTGCTCATTCAAAAGAAAGGTTCAACACTGTGAGATGAATGCACACATCACAAAGCACTTTCTTAGAATGCTTCTGTCTAGCTTTTATGTGAAAATATTTCCTTTTTCACCATAGGCTGCAAAGCGCTCCAAATATCCCTTTCAGATTCTACAGAAAGAGTGTTTGAAAACTGTTCAATCAAAAGAGAAACTCAACTCTGGTGATGAATGCACACATCACAAAGCAGTTTCTCATAATGTTTCTGTCTAGTTTTAATGTGAAGATATTTCATTCTCCACTATAGGCCGTAATGCACTCCTAATATCCACTTGCAGATTCTACAAAAAGACTGTTTGCAAACTGCTCAAACAAAAGAAAAGTTCAACTCTGTGAGTTGAATGAGCACATCACAAAGAAGTTTCTCAGAATGCTTCTGTCTAGTTTTTATGTGAATATATTTCCTTTTCCACTATAGGCCGTCATGCGCTCCAAATATCCACGTGCAGATTCTACAAAAAGACTGTTTCCAAACTGCTCAATCAAAAGAAAAGCTCAACTCTGTGAGTTGAATGAGCACATCACAAAGAAGTTTCTCAGAATGCTTCTATCTAGTTTTTATGTGAATATATTTCCTTTTCCACCACAGGCCACAAACACTCCAAATATCCACTTGAAGATTCTACAAAAAGAGTGCTTCAAAAATGCTCAATCAAAAGAAAGGTTCAACTCTTTGAGATGGATGCACACATCACAAAGAAGCTTCTCAGAATGTTTCTGTCTAGTTTTTTTGTGAAGATATTTCCTTTTCCAACGTAGTCCTCAAGTCTCTCCAAATATCTACTTTCAGAATCTCCAAAAAGAGTGTTTTAAAACTGCTGTACCAAAGAAAGCTTCATGTCTGAGATATGACTGCATACAACACAGAGAACTTTCTCAAAGTGCTTCTTTTTATTTTTTTTATGAAGATATTTCCTTTTCCACTATGGGCCACAGAGCGCTCCAAATATCCACTTGCAGATTCTACAAAAAGAGTGTTTCAAAACTGCTCAATCAATAGAAAGTTTGAAGTCTGTGAGATGAATGCACACATCACAAGGGAGTTTCTGAGAATGCTTCCATCTGAATTTTATGTGAGGATATTTCCTTTTTCACCATAGGCCTCAGTACACTCCAAATATCCATTTACAGATAATACAAATGACTGTATCCAAACTGCTCAATCAAAAGAAAGTTCAACTGTGTATGATGAATGCACACATCACAAGGGTGTTTCTCAGAAAGATTTTGTCTAGTTTTTAGGTGAAGATATTTCTTATTTCCCCAGAGGCCTCAATGGGCTCTCAAATATTCCCTTTCATATTCTACTAAATGACTGTATCGAAGCTGCTCAATCAAAAGACGGGTTTAACAGTGTGAGACGAAAATACACCTTCCTAGGATGTTTCTCAGAATTCTTCTTTCTAGTTTTTTATGTGAAGATATTTCCTTTTCCACTATAGGCCTCAAAGCGTTCCAAATATCCACTTGCAGATACTACAAATAGAGCGTTTCAAAACTGCTCAATCAAAAGAAAGGTTCAACTCTGCGAGATGAATGCAGACATCAAAAAGAAGTTTCTCAGAATGCTTCTGCCTTGTTTTTATGTGAAGATATTTCCTTTTTCACCATAGGCCTCAAAGCACTGGCAATATCCATTTGCAGATACTACAAAAAGACTGTTCCCAAACTGCTCAATAAAAAGAAAGTTTCAACTCTATGAGATAAAAGCAAATATCACAAAGAAGTTTCTCAGAAACTTTCTATCTAGTTTTTATGTGAACATATTTCTTATCACCCCATAGACCTCAATCGGCTCACAAGTATCCTTCTGCAGACTGTAAAAAACTACTGTTTCCAAACCGCTCAATCACAGGAAAGGTTTAACTCTGTGAAATGAATGCATCCATCACAGAGAAGTTTCTCAGAATGCTTCCGTCCGTTTTCATGTGAAGAAGATTCCTTTTCCACCATATTCCTCATGCGCTCCAAAGAAACACTTGCAGATTCCGCTAAAAGAGTGTTTCAAAACTGCTCAATCAAAAGAAAGGTTCTAGTCAGTGAGATGAATGCACACATCACAAAGAAGTTTCTATGAATGCTTCTGTCTGATTTATATTGAAGATATTTCCTTTTTCACCGTAGGCCTCAGAGTGCTTAAAATATCCATTTGCAGATACTAGAAAACACTGTTTCCAAACTGCTCAATCAAAGTAAAGTTCAACTCAGTGAGATAAATGCACACATCACCAAGACGTTTCTGAGAAAGATTCTGTCTAGTTTTTATTTGAAGATATTTCCTATTTCCCCAGGAGGCATCAATGGGCTCACAAATATTCCTTTGCATATTCTACAAAATGACTGTTTAGAAGCTGCTCAATCAAGAAAAAAGTTCAACACTGTGAGATGAATGCACACATTCAAAGGAAGTTTCTCAGAATTCTTCTATCTAGTTTTTATGTGAAGATATTTCCTTTTTCACTATAGGCCACAAAGTGCTCCAAATATCCACTTGCAGACTCTACAAAACGAGTGTATCCACACTGCCCAATCAAAAGAAAATTTCAACTGTGTGAGATGAATGCACACATCAAAATAAATTTCTCCAAAACTTCTGCCTACTTTTTATGGGAAGATATTTCGTTTTTCAACGTAGGCCAAAAGCGCTCCAAATATCAATTTGCAGATTCTACAAAAAGACTGTTTCCAAACTGCTCAATCAAGAGAAAGTTTCTACCCGGTGAGTAGAAGTCACACATGACAAAATAGTTTCTCAGAAAGTATCTGTCTAGTTTTTACGTGAAGATATTTCCTATCACCCCAGAAGCCTCAATGGGCTCACAAATATTCCTTTGCAGATTCTACAAAACGACAGTTTCAAAACTGCTGAATCAAAAGAAAGGTTCAACTCTGGGAGATGAATGCACAGATCACAAATGAGTTTCTCAGAATGCTGCTGTCTACTTTTTATGGGAAGATATTTCCTTTTCCACCATAGGCCTCAAAGCTCTCCAAATAGCCATTTGCAGATACTGTAAAAAGACTGTTTCCAAACTGCTGAATCAAAAGAAAGGTTGAACTCCATGAGTTGAATGCACACGTCACAAAAATTTCCCAGAATGCTTCTGGCTAGTTTTTATGTGAAGATATTTTCTTTTCCACCATAAGCCTCAAAGCATTGAAAATATCCACTTGAAGATTCTACAAAAAGAGAGTTTCAAAACTGCTCAAACAAAAGAAAGATTCAACTCTGTGAGATGAATGCACACATCACAAAGAAGTTTCTCAGAATGCTTCTGTCTAGTTTTAAGTAAAGATATTTCCTTTTCTACTATAGGCCACAAAGCACTCCAAATATCAACTTGCAGATTCTGCAGAAAGAGTTTTTCAAAGCTGCTCAATCAAAAGAAAAGTTCAACTCTTTGAGATGAATGCACACATCATGAAGTTCCTCAGAATGCTTCTATTTTTATGTGAAGATATATCGTTTTCTACCATAGACCACAAAACTCTCCAAATATCCCCTTGCAGTTTCTACTAAAAGAGTGTTTCCAAACGGCTCAATCAAAAGAAAGTTTCAACTCTGTGAGATGAATGCACACATCATTAAGAAGTTTCTCAGTAATTTTGTGTCTAGTTTTTATGTGAAGATATTTCCTTTCCTACTATAGGCCTGAAAGTGCTCCAAATATCCGTTTGCAGATACTGCAAAAAGACTGTTTCCAAACTGCTCAATCAAAGGAAATGTCCAACTCTGTGAGTTGAATGCACGCATCTCAAAGAGATTACTTATAATGATTCTGTCTAGTTTTGATGTGAAGATATTTGCTTTTCCACCAGTGGCCTCAAACTCTCCAAATATCCACTTGCAGATTCTACAATAAGAGTGTTTCAAAACTGCTTAATCAAAAGAAAGGTTCAACACTGTGAGATGAATGCACACGTCACAAAGCACTTTCTTAGAATGCTTCTGTCTAGCTTTTATGTGAAGATATTTCCTTTTTCACCATAGGCTGCAAAGCGCTGCAAATATCCCTTTCAGATTCTACAGAAAGAGTGTTTCAAAACTGTTCAATCAAAAGAGAAACTCAACTCTGGTGATGAATGCACGCATCACAAAGCAGTTTCTCATAATGTTTCTGTCTAGTTTTTATGTGAAGATATTTCATTTTCCACTATAGGCCGTAAGGCACTCCTAATATCCACTTGCAGATTCTACAGAAAGACTGTTTGCAAACTGCTCAAACAAAAGAAAAGTTCAACTCTGTGAGTTGAATGAGCACATCACAAAGAAGTTTCTCAGAATGCTTCTGTCTAGTTTTTATGTGAATATATTTCCTTTTCCACTATAGGCCATAATGCGCTCCAAATATCCACCTGCAGATTCTACAAAAAGAGTGTTTCCAAACTGCTCAATCAAAAGAAAAGCTCAACTCTGTGAGTTGAATGAGCACATCACAAAGAAGTTTCTCAGAATGCTTCTATCTAGTTTTTATGTGAATATATTTCCTTTTCCACCACAGGCCACAAACCCTCCAAATATCCACTTGAAGATTCTACAAAAAGAGTGCTTCAAAAATGCTCAATCAAAAGAAAGGTTCAACTCTTCGAGATGGACGCACACATCACAAAGAAGCTTCTCAGAATGTTTCTGTCTAGTTTTTTTGTGAAGATATTTCCTTTTCCACCGTAGTCCTCAAGTCTCTCCAAATATCTACTTTCAGAATCTCCAAAAAGAGTGTTTCAAAACTG
Source organism: Homo sapiens (assembly GCF_000001405.40). Classification (NCBI taxonomy): domain Eukaryota; kingdom Metazoa; phylum Chordata; class Mammalia; order Primates; family Hominidae; genus Homo; species Homo sapiens. The sequence continues at coordinate 13,071,380 of NC_000022.11, read as the reverse complement.
CTGTACCAAAGAAAGTTTCATGTCTGATTTTATGACTGCATACAACACAGAGAACTTTCTCAAAGTGCTTCTGTTTATTTTTTTTATGAAGATATTTCCTTTTCCACTATTGGCCACAGAGCGCTCCAAATATCCACTGGCAGATTCTACAAAAAGAGTGTTTCAACACTGCTCAATCTATAGAAAGTTTGAAGTCTGTGAGATGAATGCACACATCACAAAGGAGTTTCTAAGAATGCTTCCATCTGAATTTTATGTGAGGATATTTCCTTTTTCACCATAGGCCTCAGTACACTCCAAATATCCATTTACAGATAATACAAATGACTGTATCCAAACTGCTCAATCAAAAGAAAGTTCAACTGTGCATGATGAATGCACACATCACAAGGGTGTTTCTCAGAAAGATTTTGTCTAGTTTTTAGGTGAAGATATTTCTTATTTCCCCAGAGGCCTCAATGGGCTCTCAAGTATTCCCTTTCATATTCTACTAAATGAGTGTATCGAAGCTGCTCAATCAAAAGACGGGTTTAACAGTGTGAGACGAAAATACACCTTCCTAGGAAGTTTCTCAGAATTCTTCTTTCTAGTTTTTTATGTGAAGATATTTCCTTTTCCACTATAGGCCTCAAAGCGTTCCAAATATCCACTTGCAGATACTACAAATAGAGCGTTTCAAAACTGCTCAATCAAAAGAAAGGTTCAACTCTGTGAGATGAATGCAGACATCAAAAAGAAGTTTCTCAGAATGCTTCTGCCTTGTTTTTATGAGAAGATATTTCCTTTTTCACCATAGGCCTCAAAGCACTGGTAATATCCATTTGCAGATACTACAAAAAGACTGTTCCCAAACTGCTCAATAAAAAGAAAGTTTCAACTCTAGGAGATAAAAGCAAATATCACAAAGAAGTTTCTCAGAAACTTTCTATCTAGTTTTTATGTGAACATATTTCTTATCATCCCATAGACCTCAATCGGCTCACAAGTATCCTTCTGCAGACTGTAAAAAACTACTGTTTCCAAACCGCTCAATCACAGGAAAGGTTTAACTCTGTGAAATGAATGCATCCATCACAGAGAAGTTTCTCAGAATGCTTCCGTCTCGTTTTCATGTGAAGAAGATTCCTTTTCCACCATATTCCTCATGCGCTCCAAAGAAACACTTGCAGATTCCGCTAAAAGAGTGTTTCAAAACTGCTCAATCAAAAGAAAGGTTCTAGTCGGTGAGATGAATGCACACATCACAAAGAAGTTTCTATGAATGCTTCTGTCTGATTTATATTGAAGATATTTCCTTTTTCACCGTAGGCCTCAGAGTGCTTAAAATATCCATTTGCAGATACTAGAAAAGACACTTTCCAAACTGCTCAATCAAAATAAAGTTCAACTCAGTGAGATGAATGCAAACATGACCAAGACGTTTCTGAGAAAGATTCTGTCTCGTTTTTATGTGAAGATATTTCCTGTTTCCGCAGAGGCATCAATGGGCTCACAAATATTCCTTTGCATATTCTACAAAATGACTGTTTAGAAGGTGCTCAATCAAAAAAAAAGTTCAACAGTGTGAGATGAATGCGCCCATTCAAAGGAAGTTTCTCAGAATTCTTCTATCTAGTTTTTATGTGAAGATATTTCCTTTTTCACTATAGGCCACAAAGTGCTCCAAATATCCACTTGTAGACCCTACAAAACGAGTGTATCCACACTGCCCAATCAAAAGAAAATTTCAACTGTGTGAGATGAATGCACACATCTAAATAAATTTTTACAAAACTTCTATCTAGTTTTTATGTGAACATATTTCCTATCACCCCATAGACCTCAATCGGCTCACAAGTATCCTTCTGCAGACTGTAAAAAACTACTGTTTCCAAACTGCTCAATCAAGAGAAAGTTTCAACCCGGTGAGTAGAAGTCACACATGACAAAATAGTTTCTCAGGATGTATCTGTCTAGTTTTTATGTGAAGATATTTTCTTTTCCACCATAGGCCTCAAAGCTCTCCAAATATCCATTTGCAGATACTACAAAAAGACTGTTTCCAAACTGCTGAATCAAAGGAAAGGTTCAACTCCATGAGTTGAATGCACACATCACAAAGAAGTTTCTCAGAAAGCTTCTGACTAGTTTTTATGTGAAGATATTTTCTTTTCCACCATAGGCCTCAAAGCGCTGAAAATATCCACTTGAAGATTCTACAGAAAGAGAGTTTCAAAACTGGTCAAACAAAAGAATGATTCAACTCTGTGAGATGAATGCACACTTCACAAAGCACTTTCTTAGAATGCTTCTGTCTAGTTTTATGTAAAGATATTTCCTTTTCTACTCTAGGCCACAAAGCACTCCAAATATCAACTTGCAGATTCTGCAGAAAGAGTTTTTCAAAGCTGCTCAATCAAAAGAAAAGTTCAACACTTTGAGATGAATGCACACATCATGAAGTTCCTCAGAATGCTTCTATTTTTATGTGAAGATATATCCTTTTCTACCATAGACCACAAAACGCTCCAAATATCCCCTTGCAGTTTCTACTAAAAGAGTGTTTCCAAACGGCTCAATGGAAAGAAAGTTTCAACTCTGTGAGATGAATGCACACATCATTAAGGAGTTTCTCAGTAATTTTCTGTCTAGTTTTTATGTGAAGATATTTCCTTTCCTACTATAGGCCTGAAAGTGCTGCAAATATCCGTTTGCAGATACTGCAAAAAGACTGTTTCCACACTGCTCAATCAAAGGAAATGTCCAACTCTGTGAGTTGAATGCACGCATCTCAAAGAGATTACTTCTAATGATTCTGTCTAGTTTTTATGTGAAGATATTTGCTTTTCCACCAGTGGCCTCAAACTCTCCAAATATCCACTTGCAGATTGTACAATAAGAGTGTTTCAAAACTGCTCAATCAAAAGAAAGGTTTAACTTCTGTGAGATGAATGTACACCTCACAAAGCACTTTCTCAGAATGCTTTCTGTCTATCTTTTATGTGAAGATATTTCCTTTTTCACCATAGGCTGCAAAGCGCTCCAAATATCCCTTTCAGATTCTACAGAAAGAGTGTTTCAAAACTGTTCAATCAAAAGAGAAACTCAACTCTGGTGATGAATGCACGCATCACAAAGCAGTTTCTCATCATGTTTCTGTCTAGTTTTTATGTGAATATATTTCCTTTTCCACTAAAGGCCGTCATGCGCTCCAAATATCCACTTGCAGATTCTACAAAAAGACTGTTTCCAAACTGCTCAATCAAAAGAAAAGCTCAACTCTGTGAGTTGAATGAGCACATCACAAAGAAGTTTCTCAGAATGCTTCTGTCTAGTTTTCATGTGAATATATTTCCTTTTCCACTATAGGCCGTCATGCGCTCCAAATATCCACTGGCAGATTCTACAAAAAGACTGTTTCCAAACTGCTCAATCAAAAGAAAATCTCAACTCTGTGAGTTGAATGAGCACATCACAAAAAAGTTTCTCAGAATGCTTCTATCTAGTTTTTATGTGAATATATTTCCTTTTCCACCAGAGACCACAAACACTCCAAATAACCACTTGAAGATTCTACAAAAAAAGTGCTTCAAAAATGCTCAATCAAAAGAAAGGTTCAACTCTTCGAGATGGACGCACACATCACAAAGAAGCTTCTCAGAATGTTTCTGTCTAGTTTTTTTGTGAAGATATTTCCTTTTCCACCGTAGTCCTCAAGTCTCTCCAAATATCTACTTTCAGAATCTCCAAAAAGAGTGTTTTAAAACTGCTGTACCAAAGAAAGTTTCATGTCTGAGATATGACTGCATACAACACAGAGAACTTTCTCAAAGTGCTTCTGTTTATTTTTCTTATGAAGATATTTCCTTTTCCACTATGGGCCACAGAGCGCTCCAAATATCCACTTGCAGATTCTACAAAAAGAGTGTTTCAAACCTGCTCAATCAAAAGGAAGATTTTACTCTATGAGATGAATGGACACATCACAGAGAAGTTTCTCAATATGCTTCCATCTGAATTTTATGTGAGGATATTTCCTTTTTCACCATAGGCCTCAGTACACTCCAAATATCCATTTACAGATAATACAAATGACTGTATCCAAACTGCTCAATCAAAAGAAAGTTCAACTCTGTATGATGAATGCACACATCACAAGGGTGTTTCTCAGAAAGATTTTGTCTTGTTTTTAGGTGAAGATATTTCTTATTTCCCCAGAGGCCTCAATGGGCTTTCAAATATTCCCTTTCATATTCTACTAAATGACTGTATCGAAGCTGCTCAATCAAAAGACGGGTTTAACAGTGTGAGACGAAAATACACCTTCCTAGGAAGTTTCTCAGAATTCTTCTTTCTAGTTTTTTATGTGAAGATATTTCCTTTTCCACTATAGGCCTCAAAGCGTTCCAAATATCCACTTGCAGATACCACAAATAGAGCGTTTCAAAACTGCTCAATCAAAAGAAAGGTTCAACTCTGTGAGATGAATGCAGACATCAAAAAGAAGTTTCTCAGAATGCTTCCGCGTTGTTTTTATGTGAAGATATTTCCTTTTCCACCATAGGCCTCAAAGCACTGGTAATATCCATTTGCAGATACTACAAAAAGACTGTCCCCAAACTGCTCAATAAAAAGAAAGTTTCAACTCTAGGAGATAAAAGCAAATATCACAAAGAAGTTTCTCAGAAACTTTCTATCTAGTTTTTATGTGAACATATTTCTTATCACCCCATAGACCTCAATCGGCTCACAAGTATCCTTCTGCAGATTGTAAAAAACTACTCTTTCTCAACCGCTCAATCACAGGAAAGGTTTAACTCTGTGAAATGAATGCATCCATCACAGAGAAGTTTCTGAGAATGCTTCCGTCCGTTTTCATGTGAAGAAGATTCCTTTTCCACCATATTCCTCATGCGCTCCAAAGAAACACTTGCAGATTCCGCTAAAAGAGTGTTTCAAAACTGCTCAATCAAAAGAAAGGTTCTAGTCGGTGAGATGAATGCACACATCACAAAGAAGTTTCTATGAATGCTTCTGTCTGATTTGTATTGAAGATATTTCCTTTTTCACCGTAGGCCTCAGAGTGCTTAAAATATCCATTTGCAGATACTAGTAAAGACTGTTTCCAAACTGCTCAATCAAAGTAAAGTTCAACTCAGTGAGATGAATGCACACATCACCAAGACGTTTCTGAGAAAGATTCTGTCTCGTTTTTATGTGAAGATATTTCCTGTTTCCCCAGAGGCATCAATGGGCTCACAAATATTCCTTTGCATATTCTACAAAATGACTGTTTAGAAGGTGCTCAATCAAAAAAAAAGTTCAACAGTGTGAGATGAATGCGCCCATTCAAAGGCAGTTTCTCAGAATTCTTCTGTCTAGTTTTTATGTGAAGATATTTCCTTTTTCACTATAGGCCACAAAGTGCTCCAAATATCCACTTGCAGACTCTACAAAAAGAGTGTATCCACACTGCTCAATCAAAAGAAAATTTCAACTGTGTGAGATGAATGCACACATCACAAATAAATTTCTCCAAAACTTCTGCCTACTTTTTATGGGAAGATATTTCGTTTTTCAACATAGGCCAAATGCGCTCCAAATATCAATTTGCAGATTCTACAAAAAGACTGTTTCCAAACTGCTCAATCAAGAGAAAGTTTCAACTCGGTGAGTTGAAGTCACACATGACAAAATAGTTTCTCAGAAAGTATCTGTCTAGTTTTTACGTGAAGATATTTCCTATCACCCCAGAAGCCTCAATGGGCTCACAAATATTCCTTTGCAGATTCTACAAAAAGGCAGTTTCAAAACTGCTGAATCAAAAGAAAGGTTCAACTCTGGGAGATGAATGCACAGATCACAAATAAGTTCCTCAGAATGCTGCTGTCTAGTTTTTATGGGAAGATAATTCCTTTTCCACCATAGGCCTCAAAGCTCTACAAATAGCCATTTGCAGATACTGTAAAAAGACTGTTTCCAAACTGCTGAATCAAAAGAAAGGTTGAACTCCATGAGTTGAATGCACACGTCACAAAGAAGTTTCTCAGAATGCTTCTGTCTAGTTTTTATGTGACAATGTTTCCTTTTCTACCATAGGCCTCAAAGCTCTACAAATATCCACTTGAAGATACTGCAAAAAGTGTGTTTCAAAACTGCTCAATTAAAAGAATGGTTCAACTTCGTGAGATGAATGCACACATCAGAAAGAAATTTCTCAGAATGCTTCTGTCTAGTTTTATGTAAAGATATTTCCTTTTCTACTATAGGCCACAAAGCACTCCAAATATCAACTTGCAGATTCTGCAGAAAGAGTTTTTCAAAGCTGCTCAATCAAAAGAAAAGTTCAACTCTTTGAGATGAATGCACACATCAGGAAGTTCCTCAGAATGCTTCTATTTTTATGTGAAGATAACCTTTTCTACCATAGACCATAAAACGCTCCAAATATCCCCTTGCAGTTTCTACTAAAAGAGTGTTTCCAAACTGCTCAATCAAAGGAAAGTTTCAACTCTGTGAGATGAATGCACACATCATTAAGAAGTTTCTCAGTAATTTTCTGTCTAGTTTTTATTTGAAGATATTTCCTTTCCTACTATAGGCCTGAAAGTGCTCCAAATATCCATTTGCAGATACTGCAAAAAGACTGCTTCCAAACTGCTCAATCAAAGGAAAGGTCCAACTCTATGAGTTGAATGCACGCATCTCAAAGAGATTTCTCAGAATGGTTCTGTCTAGTTTTGATGTGAAGATATTTGCTTTTCCACCAGTGGCCTCAAACTCTGCAAATATCCACTTGCAGATTCTACAATAAGAGTGTTTCAAAACTGCTCAATCAAAAGAAAGGTTCAACACTGTGAGATGAATGCACACGTCACAATGCACTTTCTTAGAATGCTTCTGTCTAGCTTTTATGTGAAGATATTTCCTTTTTCACCATAGGCTGCAAAGCGCTCCAAATATCCCTTTCAGATTCTACAGAAAGAGTGTTTCAAAACTGTTCAATCAAAAGAGAAACTCAACTCTGGTGATGAATGCACGCATCACAAAGCAGTTTCTCATCATGTTTGTCTGTCTAGTTTTTATGTGAAGATATTTCCTTTTCCACTATAGGCCGTAATGCACTCCTAATATCCACTTGCAGATTCTACAGAAAGACTGTTTGCAAACTGCTCAAACAAAAGAAAAGTTCAACTCTGTGAGTTGAATGAGCACATCACAAAGAAGTTTCTCAGAATGCTTCTGTCTAGTTTTTATGTGAATATATTTCCTTTTCCACTATAGGCCGTAATGCGCTCCAAATATCCACTTGCAGTTTCTACAAAAAGACTGTTTCCAAACTGCTCAATCAAAAGAGAAGCTCAACTCTGTGAGTTGAATGAGCACATCAGAAAGAAGTTTCTCAGAATGCTTCTATCTAGTTTTTATGTGAATATATTTCCTTTTCCACCACAGGCCACAAACACTCCAAATATCCACTTGAAGATTCTACAAAAAGAGTGCTTCAAAAATGCTCAATCAAAAGAAAGGTTCCACTCTTTGAGATGGATGCACACATCACAAAGAAGCTTCTCAGAATGTTTCTGTCTAGTTTTTTTGTGAAGATATTTCCTTTTCCACCGTAGTCCTCAAGTCTCTCCAAATATCTACTTTCAGAATCTCCAAAAAGAGTGTTTTAAAACTCCTGTACCAAAGAAAGTTTCATGTCTGAGATATGACTGCATACAACACAGAGAAGTTTCTCAAAGTGCTTCTGTTTATTTTTTTTATGAAGATATTTCCTTTTCCACTATGGGCCACAGAGCGCTCCAAATATCCACTGGCAGATTCTACAAAAAGAGTGTTTCAAAACTGCTCAATCTATAGAAAGTTTGAAGTCTGTGAGATGAATGCACACATCACAAAGGAGTTTCTAAGAATGCTTCCATCTGAATTTTATGTGAGGATATTTCCTTTCTCACCATAGGCCTCAGTACACTCCAAACATCCATTTACAGATAATACAAATGACTGTATCCAAACTGCTCAATCAAAAGAAAGTTCAACTGTGTATGATGAATGCACACATCACAAGGGTGTTTCTCAGAAAGATTTTGTCTAGTTTTTAGGTGAAGATATTTCTTTTTTCCCCAGAGGCCTCAATGGGCTCTCAAATATTCCCTTTTATATTCTACTAAATGACTGTATCGAAGTTGCTCAATCAAAAGACGGGTTTAACAGTGTGAGACGAAAATACACCTTCCTAGGAAGTTTCTCAGAATTCTTCTTTCTAGTTTTTTATGTGAAGATATTTCCTTTTCGACAATAGGCCTCAAATCGTTCCAAATATCCACTTGCAGATACTACAAATAGAGCGTTTCAAAACTGCTCAATCAAAAGAAAGGTTCAACTCTGTGAGATGAATGCAGACATCACAAAGAAGTTTCTCAGAATGCTTCTGCCTTGTTTTTATGTGAAGATATTTCCTTTTTCACCACAGGCCTCAAAGAACTGGTAATATCCATTTGCAGATACTACAAAAAGACTGTTCCCAAACTGCTCAATAAAAAGAAAGTTTCAACTCTATGAGATAAAAGCAAATATCACAAAGAAGTTTCTCAGAAACTTTCTATCTAGTTTTTATGTGAACATATTTCTTATCACCCCATAGACCTCAATCGGCTCACAAGTATCCTTCTGCAGATTATAAACATCTACTGTTTCCAAACCGCTCAATCACAGGAAAGGTTTAACTCTGTGAAATGAATGCATCCATCACAGAGAAGTTTCTCAGAATGCTTCCGTCTCGTTTTTATGTGAAGAAGATTCCTTTTCCACCATATTCCTCATGCGCTCCAAATAAACACTTGCAGATTCCGCTAAAAGAGTGTTTCAAAACTGCTCAATCAAAAGAAAGGTTCTAGTCGGTGAGATGAATGCACACATCACAAAGAAGTTTCTATGAATGCTTCTGTCTGATTTATATTGAAGATATTTCCTTTTTCACCGTAGGCCTCAGAGTGCTTAAAATATCCATTTGCATATACTAGAAAAGACTGTTTCCAAACTGCTCAATCAAAGTAAAGTTCAACTCAGTGAGATGAATGCACACATCACCAAGACGTTTCTGAGAAAGATTCTGTCTCGTTTTTATGTGAAGATATTTCCTGTTTCCCCAGAGGCATCAATGGGCTCACAAATATTCCTTTGCATATTCTACAAAATGACTGTTTAGAAGGTGCTCAATGAAAAAAAAAGTTCAACAGTGTGAGATGAATGCGCCCATTCAAAGGAAGTTTCTCAGAATTCTTCTATCTAGTTTTTATGTGAAGATATTTCCTTTTTCACTATAGGCCACAAAGTGCTCCAAATATCCACTTGCAGACTCTACAAAACGAGTGTATCCACACTGCTCAATCAAAAGAAAATTTCAACTGTGTGAGATGAACGCACACATCAAAATAAATTTCTCCAAAACTTCTGCCTACTTTTTAGGGGAAGATATTTCGTTTTTCAACGTAGGCCAAAAGCACTCCAAATATCAATTTGCAGATTCTACAAAAAGACTGTTTCCAAACTGCTCAATCAAGAGAAAGTTTCAACCCGGTGAGTAGAAGTCACACATGACAAAATAGTTTCTCAGGAAGTATCTGTCTAGTTTTTATGTGAAGATATTTCCTATCACCCCAGAAGCCTCAATGGGCTCACAAATATTCCTTTGCAGATTCTACAAAACGACAGTTTCAAAACTGCTGAATCAAAAGAAAGGTTCAACACTGTGAGATGAATGCACAGATCACAAATAAGTTTCTCACAATGCTGCTGTCTAGTTTTTATGGGAAGAGATTTCCTTTTCCACCATAGGCCTCAAAGCTCTCCAAATATCCATTTGCAGATACTGTGAAAAGTCTGTTTCCAAACTGCTGAATCAAAAGAAATGTTGAACTCCATGAGTTGAATGCACACGTCACAAAGAAGTTTCTCAGAATGCTTCTGACTAGTTTTTATGTGAAGATATTTTCTTTTCCACCATAGGCCTCAAAGCGCTGAAAATATTCACTTGAAGATTCTACAGAAAGAGAGTTTCAAAACTGCTCAAACAAAAGAAAGATTCAACTCTGTGAGATGAATGCACACATCACAAAGAAGTTTCTCAGAATGCTTCTGTCTAGTTTTATGTAAAGATATTTCCTTTTCTACTATAGGCCACAAAGCATTCCAAATATCAACTTGCAGATTCTGCAGAAAGAGTTTTTCAAAGCTGCTCAATCAAAAGAAAAGTTCAACTCTTTGAGATGAATGCACACATCATGAAGTTCCTCAGAATGCTTCTATTTTTATGTGAAGATATATCCTTTTCTACCATAGACCACAAAACGCTCCAAATATCCCCTTGCAGTTTCTACTAAAAGAGTGTTTCCAAACGGCTCAATCAAAAGAAAGTTTCAACTCTGTGAGATGAATGCACACAACATTAAGTAGTGTCTCAGTAATTTGCTGTCTAGTTTTTATGTGAAGATATTTCCTTTCCTACTATAGGCCTGAAAGTGCTCCAAATATCCGTTTGCAGATACTGCATAAAGACTGTTTCCAAACTGCTCAATCAAAGGAAATGTCCAACTCTGTGAGTTGAATGCACGCATCTCAAAGAGATTACTTATAATGATTCTGTCTAGTTTTGATGTGAAGATATTTGCTTTTCCACCAGTGACCTCAAACTCTCCAAATATCCACTTGCAGATTCTACAATAAGAGTGTTTCAAAACTGCTCAATCAAAAGAAAGCTTCAACACTGTGAGATGAATGCACACGTCACAAAGCACTTTCTTAGAATGCTTCTGTCTAGCTTTTATGTGAAGATATTTCCTTTTTCACCATAGGCTGCAAAGCGCTCCAAATATCCCTTTCAGATTCTACAGAAAGAGTGTTTGAAAACTGTTCAATCAAAAGAGAAACTCAACTCTGGTGATGAATGCACACATCACAAAGCAGTTTCTCATAATGTTTCTGTCTAGTTTTTATGTGAAGATATTTCATTCTCCACTATAGGCCATAATGCACTCCTAATATCCACTTGCAGATTCTACAAAAAGACTGTTTGCAAACTGCTCAAACAAAAGAAAAGTTCAACTCTGTGAGTTGAATGAGCACATCACAAAGAAGTTTCTCAGAATGCTTCTGTCTAGTTTTTATGTGAATATATTTCCTTTTCCACTATAGGCCGTAATGCGCTCCAAATATCCACTTGCAGATTCTACAAAAAGACTGTTTCCCAACTGCTCAATCAAAAGAAAAGCTCAACTCTGTGAGTTGAATGAGCACATCACAAAGAAGTTTCTCAGAATGCTTCTATCTAGTTTTTATGTGAATATATTTCCTTTTCCACCACAGGCCACAAACTCTCCAAATATCCACTTGAAGATTCTACAAAAAGAGTGCTTCAAAAATGCTCAATCAAAAGAAAGGTTCAACTCTTTGAGATGGATGCACATATCAAAAAGACGCTTCTCAGAATGTTTCTGTCTAGTTTTTTTGTGAAGATATTTCCTTTTCCACCGTAGTCCTCAAGTCTCTCCAAATATCTACTTTCAGAATCTCCAAAAAGAGTGTTTTAAAACTGCTGTACCAAAGAAAGTTTCATGTCTGAGATATGACTGCATACAACCCAGAGAAAGTTCTCAAAGTGCTTCTGTTTATTTTTTTTATGAAGATATTTCCTTTTCCACTATGGGCCACAGAGCGCTCCAAGTATCCACTGGCAGATTCTACAAAAAGAGTGTTTCAAAACTGCTCAATCAATAGAAAGTTTGAAGTCTGTGAGATGAGTGCACACATCACAAAGGAGTTTCTAAGAATGCTTCCATCTGAATTTTATGTGAGGATACTTCCTTTTTCACCATAGGCCTCAGTACACTCCAAATATCCATTTACAGATAATACAAATGACTGTATCCAAACTGCTCAATCAAAAGAAAGTTCAACTGTGTATGATGAATGCACACATCACAAGGGTGTTTCTCAGAAAGATTTTGTCTAGTTTTTAGGTGAAGATATGTCTTATTTCCCCAGAGGCCTCAATGGGCTCTCAAATATTCCCTTTCATATTCTACTAAATGACTGTATCGAAGCTGCTCAATCAAAAGACGGGTTTAACAGTGTGAGACGAAAATACACCTTCCTAGGAAGTTTCTCAGAATTCTTCTTTCTAGTTTTTTATGTGAAGATATTTCCTTTTCCACTATAGGCCTCAAAGCGTTCCAAATATCCAATTGCAGATACTACAAATAGAGCGTTTCAAAACTGCTCAATCAAAAGAAAGGTTCAACTCTGTGAGATGAATGCAGACATCAAAAAGAAGTTTCTCAGAATGCTTCTGCCTTGTTTTTATGTGAAGATATTTCCTTTTCCACCATAGGCCTCAAAGCACTGGTAATATCCATTTGTAGATACTACAAAAAGACTGTTCCCAAACTTCTCAATAAAAAGAAAGTTTCAACTCTAGGAGATAAAAGCAAATATCACAAAGAAGTTTCTCAGAAACTTTCTATCTAGTTTTTATGTGAACATATTTCTTATCACCCCATAGACCTCAATCGGCTCACAAGTATCCTTCTGCAGATTGTAAAAAACTACTGTTTCCAAACCGCTCAATCACAGGAAAGGTTTAACTCTGTGAAATGAATGCATCCATCACAGAGAAGTTTCTAAGAATGCTTCCGTCTCGTTTTTATGTGAAGAAGATTCCTTTTCCACCATATTCCTCATGCGCTCCAAATAAACACTTGCAGATTCCGCTAAAAGAGTGTTTCAAAACTGCTCAATCAAAAGAAAGGTTCTAGTCGGTGAGATGAATGTACACATCCCAAAGAAGTTTCTATGAATGCTTCTGTCTGGTTTATATTGAAGATATTTCCTTTTTCACCGTAGGCCTCAGAGTGCTTAAAATATCCATTTGCAGATACTAGAAAAGACTGTTTCCAAACTGCTCAATCAAAATAAAGTTCAACTCAGTGAGATGAATGCACACATCACCAAGACGTTTCTGAGAAAGATTCTGTCTAGTTTTTATTTGAAGATATTTCCTATTTCCCCAGAGGCATCAATGGGCTCAAAAATATTCCTTTGCATATTCTACAAAATGACTGTTTAGAAGCTGCTCAATCAAAAAAAGGTTCAACACTGTGAGATAAATGCGCACATTCAAAGGAAGTTTCTCAGAATTCTTCTGTCTAGTTTTTATGTGAAGATATTTCCTTTTTCACTATAGGCCACAAAGTGCTCCAAATATCCACTTGCAGACTCTACAAAACGAGTGTATCCACACTGCTCAATCAAAAGAAAATTTCAACTGTGTGAGATGAATGCACACATCAAAATAAATTTCTCCAAAACTTCTGTCTAGTTTTTATGTGAAGATATTTCCTATCACCCCAGGAAGCCTCAATGGGCTCACAAATATTCCTTTGCAGATTCTACAAAACGACAGTTTCAAAACTGCTGAATCAAAAGAAAGGTTCAACTCTGTGAGATGAATGCACAGATCACAAATAAGTTTCTCAGAATGCTGCTGTCTAGTTTTTATGGGAAGAGATTTCCTTTTACACCATAGGCCTCAAAGCTCTCCAAATAGCCATTTGCAGATACTGTAAAAAGACTGTTTCCAAACTGCTGAATCAAAAGAAAGGTTGAACTCCATGAGTTGAATGCACACGTCACAAAGAAGTTTCTCAGAATGCTTCTGACTAGTTTTTATGTGAAGATAATTTCTTTTCCACCATAGGCCTCAAAGCGCTGAAAATATCCACTTGAAGATTCTACAGAAAGAGTTTCAAAACTGCTCAAACAAAAGAAAGATTCAACTCTGTGAGATGAATGCACACATCACAAAGAAGTTTCTCAGAATGCTTCTGTCTAGTTTTATGTAAAGATATTTCCTTTTCTACTATAGGCCACAAAGCACTCCAAATATCAACTTGCAGATTCTGCAGAAAGAGTTTTTCAAAGCTGCTCAGTCAAAAGACAAGTTAAACTCTTTGAGATGAATGCACACATCATGAAGTTCCTCAGAATGCTTCTATTTTTATGTGAAGATATAGCCTTTTCTACCATAGACCACAAAACGCTCCAAATATCCCCTTGCAGTTTCTACTAAAAGAGTGTTTCCAAACTGCTCAATCAAAAGAAGTTTCAACTCTGTGAGATGAATGCACATATCATTAAGAAGTTTCTCAGTAATTTCCTGTCTAGTTTTTATGTGAAGATATTTCCTTTCCTACTATAGGCCTGAAAGTGCTCCAAATATCCGTTTGCAGATACTGCAAAAAGACTGTTTCCACACTGCTCAATCAAAGGAAATGTCCAACTCTGTGAGTTGAATGCACGCATCTCAAAGAGATTACTTATAATGATTCTGTCTAGTTTTGATGTGAAGATATTTGCTTTTCCACCAGTGGCCTCAAACTCTGCAAATATCCACTTGCAGATTCTACAATAAGAGTGTTTCAAAACTGCTCAATCAAAAGAAAGGTTCAACACTGTGAGATGAATGCACACGTCATAATGCACTTTCTTAGAATGCTTCTGTCTAGCTTTTATTTGAAGATATTTCCTTTTTCACCATAGGCTGCAAAGCGCTCCAAATATCCCTTTCAGATTCTACAGAGAGAGTGTTTCAAAACTGTTCAATCAAAAGAGAAATTCAACTCTGGTGATGAATGCACGCATCACAGAGCAGTTTCTCATAATGTTTCTGTCTATTTTTTATGTGAAGTTATTTCATTTTCCACTATAGGCCGTAATGCACTCCTAATATCCACTTGCAGATTCTACAAAAAGACTGTTTGCAAACTGCTCAAACAAAAGAAAAGTTCAACTCTGTGAGTTGAATGAGCACATCATAAAAAGTTTCTCAGAATGCTTCTGTCTAGTTTTTATGTGAATATATTTCCTTTTCCACTATAGGCCGTCATGCGCTCCAAATATCCACTTGCAGATTCTACAAAAAGACTGATTCCAAACTGCTCAATCAAAAGAAAAGCTCAACTCTGTGAATTGAATGAGCACATCACAAAGAAGTTTCTCAGAATGCTTCTATCTAGTTTTTATGTGAATATATTTCCTTTTCCACCACAGGCCACAAACCCTCCAAATATCCACTTGAAGATTCTACAAAAAGAGTGCTTCAAAAATACTCAATCAAAAGAAAGGTTCAACTCTTCGAGATGGACGCACACATCACAAAGAAGCTTCTCAGAATGTTTCTGTCTAGTATTTTTGTGAAGATATTTCCTTTTCCACCGTAGTCCTCAAGTCTCTCCAATTATCTACTTTCAGAATCTCCAAAAAGAGTGTTTTAAAACTGCTGTACCAAAGAAAGTTTCATGTCTGAGATATGACTGCATACAACACAGAGAAGTTTCTCAAAGTGCTTCTGTTTATTTTTTTTATGAAGATATTTCCTTTTCCACTATGGGCCACAGAGCGCTCCAAATATCCACTTGCAGATTCTACAAAAAGAGTGTTTCAAAACTGCTCAATCAATAGAAAGTTTGAAGTCTGTGAGATGAGTGCACACATCACAAGGGAGTTTCTGAGAATGCTTCCATGTGATTTTTATGTGAAGAAATTTCGTTTTTCACCACAGGCCTCAATACACTCCAAATATCCATTTACAGATAATACAAATGACTGTTTCCAAACTGCCCAATCAAAAGGAAGTTCAACTCTGTGTGACGAATGCACATATCACAAGGAAGTTTCTCAGAAAGTTTGTGTCTAGTTTTTAGGTGAAGATACTTCCTATTTCCCTAGAGGCCGCAATGGGCTCTCAAATATTCTCTTTCAGATTTTACTAAACGACTATATCGGAGCTGCTCAATCAAAAGAAAGGTTCAACAGTGTGAGATGAAAGCACACATTCCTAGGAAGTTTCTCAGAATTCTTCTTTCTAGGTTTTTATGTGAAGATATTTCCTTTTCCACTATAGGCCTCAAAGCGTTCCAAATATCCACTTGCAGATACTACAAATAGAGCGTTTCAAAACTGCACAATCAAAAGAAAGGTTCAACTCTGTGAGATGAATGCAGACATCAAAAAGAAGTTTCTCAGAATGCTTCTGCCTTGTTTTTATGTGAAGATATTTCCTTTTTCACCATAGGCCTCAAAGCACTGGTAATATCCATTTGCAGGTACTACAAAAAGACTGTTCCCAAACAGCTCAATAAAAAGAAAGTTTCAACTCTATGAGATGAAAGCAAATATCACAAAGAAGTTTCTCGGAAACTTTCTATCTATTTTTTATGTGAACATATTTCTTATCACCCCATAGACCTCAATCGGCTCACAAGTATCCTTCTGCAGATTGTAAAAAACTACTGTTTCCAAACCGCTCAATCACAGGAAAGGTTTAACTCTGTGAAATGAATGCATCCATCACAGAGAAGTTTCTCAGAATGCTTCCATCTCGTTTCTATGTGAAGAAGATTCCTTTTCCACCATATTCCTCATGCGCTCCAAATAAACACTTGCAGATTCCGCTAAAAGAGTGTTTCAAAACTGCTCAATCAAAAGAAAGGTTCTAGTCGGTGAGATGAATGCACACATCACAAAGAAGTTTCTATGAATCCTTCTGTCTGATTTATATTGAAGATATTTCCTTTTTCACCGTAGGCCTCAGAGTGCTTAAAATATCCATTTGCAGATACTAGAAAAGACTGTTTCCAAACTGCTCAATCAAAATAAAGTTCAACTCAGTGAGATGAATGCTCACATCACCAAGACGTTTCTGAGAAAGATTCTGTCTCGTTTTTATGTGAAGATATTTCCTGTTTCCGCAGAGGCATCAATGGGCTCACAAATATTCCTTTGCATATTCTACAAAATGACTGTTTAGAAGGTGCTCAATCAAAAAAAAAAGTTCAACAGTGTGAGATGAATGCGCCCATTCAAAGGAAGTTTCTCAGAATTCTTCTATCTAGTTTTTATGTGAAGATATTTCCTTTTTCACTATAGGCCACAAAGTGCTCCAAATATCCACTTGCAGACTCTGCAAAACGAGTGTATCCACACTGCTCAATCAAAAGAAAATTTCAACTGTGTGAGATGAATGCACACATCAAAATAAATTTCTCCAAAACTTCTGCCTACTTTTTATGGGAAGATATTTCGTTTTTCAATGTAGGCCAAAAGCACTCCAAATATCAATTTGCAGATTCTACAAAAAGACTGTTTCCAAACTGCTCAATCAACAGAAAGTTTCAACCCGGTGAGTAGAAGACACACATGACAAAATAGTTTCTCAGAAAGTATCTGTCTAGTTTTTATGTGAAGATATTTCCTATCACCCCAGAAGCCTCAATGGGCTCACAAATATTCCTTTGCAGATTCTACAAAACGACAGTTTCAAAACTGCTGAATCAAGAGAAAGGTTCAACTCTGTGAGATGAATGCGCAGATCACAAATAAGTTTCTCAGAATGCTGCTGTCTAGTTTTTATGGGAAGATATTTCCTTTTCCACCATAGGCCTCAAAGCTCTCCAAATATCCATCTGCAGATACTGTAAAAAGACTGTTTCCAAACTGCTGAATCAAAAGAAAGGTTGAACTCCATGAGTTGAATGCACACGTCACAAAGAAGTTTCTCAGAATGCTTCTGACTAGTTTTTATGTGAAGATATTTTCTTTTCCACCATAGTCCTCAAAGCACTAAAAATATCCACTTGAAGATTCTACAGAAAGAGAGTTTCAAAACTGCTCAAACAAAAGAAAGATTCAACTCTGTGAGATGAATGCACACATCACAAAGAAGTTTCTCAGAATGCTTCTGTCTAGTTTTAAGTAAAGATATTTCCTTTTCTACTATAGGCCACAAAGCACTCCAAATATCAACTTGCAGATTCTGCAGAAAGAGTTTTTCAAAGCTACTCAATCAAAAGAAAAGTTCAACTCTTTGAGATGAATGCACACATCATGAAGTTCCTCAAAATGCTTCTATTTTTATGTGAAGATATAGCCTTTTCTACCATAGACCACAAAATGCTCCAAATATCCCCTTGCAGTTTCTACTAAAAGAGTGTTTCCAAACTGCTCAATCAAAAGAAAGTTTCAACTCTGTGAGATGAATGCACACATCATTAAGAAGTTTCTCAGTAATTTTCTGTCTAGTTTTTATGTGAAGATATTTAATTTCCTACTATAGGCCTGAAAGTGCTCCAAATATCCGTTTGCAGATACTGCAAAAAGACTGTTTCCAAACTGCTCAATCAAAGGAAATGTCCAACTCTGTGAGTTGAATGCACGCATCTCAAAGAGATTACTTATAATGATTCTGTCTAGTTTTGATGTGAAGATATTTGCTTTTCCACCAGTGGCCTCAAACTCTCCAAATATCCACTTGCAGATTCTACAATAAGAGTGTTTCAAAACTGCTCAATCAAAAGAAAGGTTCAACACTGTGAGGTGAATGCACACGTCACAAAGCACTTTCTTAGAATGCTTCTGTCTAGCTTTTATGTGAAGATATTTCCTTTTTCACCATAGGCTGCAAAGCGCTCCAAATATCCCTTTCAGATTCTACAGAAAGAGTGTTTCAAAACTGTTCAATCAAAAGAGAAACTCAACACTGGTGATGAATGCACGCATCACAAAGCAGTTTCTCATAATGTTTTTGTCTGGTTTTTATGTGAAGATATTTCATTTTCCACTATAGGCCGTAATGCACTCCTAATATCCACTTGCAGATTCTACAGAAAGACTGTTTGCAAACTGCTCAAACAAAAGAAAAGTTCAACTCTGTGAGTTGAATGAGCACATCACAAAGAAGTTTCTCAGAATGCTTCTGTCTAGTTTTTATGTGAATATATTTCCTTTTCCACTATAGGCCGTAATGCGCTCCAAATATCCACTTGCAGTTTCTACAAAAAGACTGTTTCCAAACTGCTCAATCAAAAGAAAAGCTCAACTCTGTGAGTTGAATGAGCACATCAGAAAGAAGTTTCTCAGAATGCTTCTATCTAGTTTTTATGTGAATATATTTCCTTTTCCACCTCAGGCCACAAACACTCCAAATATCCACTTGAAGATTCTACAAAAAGAGTGCTTCAAAAATGGTCAATCAAAAGAAAGGTTCAACTCTTTGAGATGGATGCACACATCACAAAGAAGCTTCTCAGAATGTTTCTGTCTAGTTTTTGTGTGAAGATATTTCCTTTTCCACCATAGTCCTCATGTCTCTCAAATATCTACTTTCAGAATCTCCAAAAAGAGTGTTTTAAAACTGCTGTATCAAAGAAAGTTTCATGTCTGAGATATGACTGCATACAGCACAGAGAAGTTTCTCAAAGTGCTTCTGTTTATTTTTTTTATGAAGATATTTCCTTTTCCACTATGGGCCACAGAGCGCTCCAAATATCGACTTGCAGATTCTACAAAAAGAGTGTTTCAAAACTGCTCAATCAATAGAAAGTTTGAAGTCTGTGAGATGAATGCACACATCACAAAGGAGTTTCTAAGAATGCTTCCATCTGAATTTTATGTGAGGATATTTCCTTTTTCACCATAGGCCTCAATACACTCCAAATATCCATTTACAGATAATACAAATGACTGTATCCAAACTGCTCAATCAAAAGAATGTTCAACTGTGTATGATGAATGCACACATCAGAAGGGTGTTTCTCAGAAAGTTTTTGTCTAGCTTTTAGGTGAAGATATTTCTTATTTCCCCAGAGGCCTCAATGGGCTCTCAAATATTCCCTTTCATATTCTCCTAAATGACTGTATCGAAGCTGCTCAATCAAAAGACGGGTTTAACAGTGTGAGACGAAAATACACCTTCCTCGGAAGTTTCTCAGAATTCTTCTTTCTAGGTTTTTATGTGAAGATATTTCCTTTTCCACTATAGGCCTCAAAGCGTTCCAAATATCCACTTGCAGATCCTACAAATAGAGCCTTTCAAAACTGCTCAATCAAAAGAAAGGTTCAACTCTGTGAGATGAATGCAGACATCAAAAAGAAGTTTCTCAGAATGCTTCCGCCTTGTTTTTATGTGAAGATATTTCCTTTTTCACCATACGCCTCAAAGCACTGGTAATATCCATTTGCAGATACTACAAAAAGACTGTTCCCAAACTGCTCAATAAAAAGAAATTTTCAACTCTATGAGATAAAAGCTAATATCACAAAGCAGTTTCTCAGAAACTTTCTATCTAGTTTTTATGTGAACATATTTCTTATCACCCCATAGACCTCAATCGGCTCACAAGTATCCTTCTGCAGATTGTAAAAAACTACTGTTTCCAAACCGCTCAATCACAGGAAAGGTTTAACTCTGTGAAATGAATGCATCCATCACGGAGAAGTTTCTTAGAATGTTTCCGTCTCGTTTTCAAGTGAAGAAGATTCCTTTTCCACCATATTCCTCATGCGCTCCAAATAAACACTTGCAGATTCCGCTAAAAGAGTGTTTCAAAACTGCTCAATGAAAAGAAAGGTTCTAGTCGGTGAGATGAATGCACACATCACAAAGAAGTTTCTATGAATGCTTCTGTCTGATTTATATTGAAGATATTTCCTTTTTCACCGTAGGCCTCAGAGTGCTTAAAATATACATTTGCAGATACTAGAAAAGACTGTTTCCAAACTGCTCAATCAAAATAAAGTTCAACTCAGTGAGATGAATGCACACATCACCAAGACGTTTCTGAGAAAGATTCTGTCTCGTTTTTATGTGAAGATATTTCCTGTTTCCCCAGAGGCATCAATGGGCTCACAAATATTCCTTTGCAGATTCTACAAAATGACTCTTTAGAAGGTGCTCAATCAAAAAAAAAGTTCAACAGTGTGAGATGAATGCACCCATTCAAAGGAAGTTTCTCAGAATTCTTCTATCTAGTTTTTATGTGAAGATATTTCCTTTTTCACTATAGGCCAGAAAGTGCTCCAAATATCCACTTGCAGACTCTACAAAACGAGTGTATCCACACTGCTCAATCAAAAGAAAATTTCAACTGTGTGAGATGAATGCACACATCAAAATAAATTTCTCCAAAACTTCTGCCTAGTTTTTATGGAAAGATACTTCATTTTTCAACATAGGCCAAAAGTGCTCCAAATATTCATTTGCAGATTCTACAAAAAGACTGTTCCCAAACTGCTCAATCAAGAGAAAGTTTCAACCCGGTGAGTTGAAGTCACACATGACAAAATAGTTTCTCAGAAAGTATCTGTCTAGTTGTTATGTGAAGATATTTCCTATCTCCCCAGAAGCCTCAATGGGCTCACAAATATCCCTTTGCAGATTCTACAAAACGACAGTTTCAAAACTGCTGAATCAAAAGAAAGGTTCAACTCTGTGAGATGAATGCACAGATCACAAATAAGTTTCTCAGAATGCTGCTGTCTAGTTTTTATGGGAAGAGATTTCCTTTTCCACCATAGGCCTCAAAGCTCTCCAAATAGCCATTTGCAGATACTGTAAAAAGACTGTTTCCAAACTGCTGAATGAAAAGAAAGGTTGAACTCCATGAGTTGAATGCACACGTCACAAAGAAGTTTCTCAGAATGCTTCTGACTAGTTTTTATGTGAAGATATTTTCTTTTCCACCGTAGGCCTCAAAGCGCTGAAAATATCCACTTGAAGATTCTACAAAAAGAGAGTTTCAAAACTGCTCAAACAAAAGAAAGATTCAACTCTGTGAGATGAATGCACACATCACAAAGAAGTTTCTCAGAATGCTTCTGTCTAGTTTTATGTAAAGATATTTCCTTTTCTACTATAGGCCACAAAGCTTTCCAAATATCAACTTGCAGATTCTGCAGAAAGAGTTTTTCAAAGCTGCTCAATCAAAAGAAAAGTTCAACTCTTTGAGATGAATGCACACATCAGGAAGTTCCTCAGAATGCTTCTATTTTTATGTGAAGATAACCTTTTCTACCATAGACCATAAAACCCTCCAAATATCCCCTTGCACTTTCTACTAAAAGAGTGTTTCCAAACTGCTCAATCACAGGAAAGTTTCAACTCTGTGAGATGAATGCACACATCATTACGAAGTTTCTCAGTAATTTTCTGTCTAGTTTTTATGTGAAGATATTTCCTTTCCTACTATAGGCCTGAAAGTGCTCCAAATATCCGCTTGCAGATACCGCAAAAAGACTGTTTCCAAACTGCTCAATCAAAGGAAACGTCCAACTCTGTGAGTTGAATGCACGCATCTCAAAGAGATTACTTATAATGATTCTGTCTAGTTTTGATGTGAAGATATTTGCTTTTCCACCAGTGGCCTCAAACTCTCCAAATATCCACTTGCAGATTCTACAATAAGAGTGTTTCAAAACTGCTCAATCAAAAGAAAGGTTCAACACTGTCAGATGAATGCACGCGTCACAAAGCACTTTCTTAGAATGCTTCTGTCTAGCTTTTATGGGAAGATGTTTCCTTTTACACCATAGGCTGCAAAGCGCTCCAAATATCCCTTTCAGATTCTACAGAAAGAGTGTTTCAAAACTGTTCAATCAAAAGAGAAACTCAACTCTGGTGATGAATGCACGCATCACAAAGCAGTTTCTCATAATGTTTCTGTCTAGTTTTTATGTGAAGATATTTCATTTTCCACTATAGGCCGTAATGCACTCCTAATATCCACTTGCAGATTCTACAGAAAGACTGTTTCCAAACTGCTCAATCAAAAGAAAAGCTCAACTCTGTGAGTTGAATGAGCACATCACAAAGAAGTTTCTCAGAATGCTTCTGTCTAGTTTTTATGTGAATATATTTCCTTTTCCACTATAGGCCGTAATGCGCTCCAAATATCCACTTGCAGATTCTACAGAAAGACTGTTTCCAAACTGCTCAATCAAAAGAAAAGCTCAACTCTGTGAGTTGAATGAGCACATCACAAAGAAGTTTCTCAGAATGCTTCTATCTAGTTTTTATGTGAATATATTTGCTTTTCCACCACAGGCCACAAACCCTCCAAATATCCACTTGAAGATTCTACAAAAAGAGTGCCTCAAAAATGCGCAATCAAAACAAAGGTTCAACTCTTCGAGATGGACGCACACAACACAAAGAAGCTTCTCAGAATGTTTCTGTCTAGTTTTCTTGTGAAGATATTTCCTTTTCCACCGTAGTCCTCAAGTCTCTCCAAATATCTACTTTCAGAATCTCCAAAAAGAGTGTTTTAAAACTCCTGTACCAAAGAAAGTTTCATGTCTGAGATATGACTGCATACAACACAGAGAAGTTTCTCAAAGTGCTTCTGTTTATTTTTCTTATGAAGATATTTCCTTTTCCACTATGGGCCACAGAGTGCTCCAAATATCCACTGGCAGATTCTACAAAAAGGGTGTTTCAAAACTGCTCAATCAATAGAAAGTTTGAAGTCTGTGAGATGAATGTACACATCACAAAGGAGTTTCTAAGAATGCTTCCATCTGAATTTTATGTGAGGATATTTCCTTTTTCACCATAGGCCTCAGTACACTCCAAATATCCATTTACAGATAATACAAATGACTGTATCCAAACTGCTCAATCAAAAGAAAGTTCAACTGTGTATGATGAAGGCACACATCACAAGGCTGTTTCTCAGAAAGATTTTGTCTAGTTTTTAGGTGAAGATATTTCTTATTTCCCCAGAGGCCTCAATGGGCTCTCAAATATTCCCTTTCATATTCTACTAAATGACTGTATCGAAGCTGCTCAATCAAAAGACGGGTTTAACAGTGTGAGACGAAAACACACCTTCCTAGGAAGTTTCTCAGAATTCTTCTTTCTAGTTTTTTATGTGAAGATATTTCCTTTTCCACTATAGGCCTCAAAGCGTTCCAAATATCCACTTGCAGATACTACAAATAGAGCGTTTCAAAACTGCTCAATCAAAAGAAAGGTTCAACTCTGTGAGATGAATGCATACATCAAAAAGAAGTTTCTCAGAATGCTTCCGCCTTGTTTTTATGTGAAGATATTTCCTTTTCCACCATAGGCCTCAAAGCACTGGTAATATCCATTTGCAGATACTACAAAAAGACTGTCCCCAAACTGCTCAATAAAAAGAAAGTTTCAACTCTAGGAGATAAAAGCAAATATCACAAAGAAGTTTCTCAGAAACTTTCTATCTAGTTTTTATGTGAACATATTTCTTATCACCCCATAGACCTCAATGGCTCACAAGTATCCTTCTGCAGATTATAAAAAACGACTGTTTCCAAACCACTCAATCACAGGAAAGGTTCCACTCTGTGAAATGAATGCACCCATCACAGAGAAGTTTCTCAGAATGCTTCTGTCTCGTTTTTATGTGAAGAAGATTCCTTTTCCACCATATTCCTCATGCACTCTAAATAAACACTTGCAGATTCTGCTATAAAAGTGTTTCAAAACTGCTCAATCAAAAGAAAGGTTCTAGTCAGTGAGATGAATGCACACATCACAAAGAAGTTTCTATGAATGCTTCTGTCTGATTTATATTGAAGATATTTCTTTTTTCACCGTAGGCCTCAGAGTGCTTAAAATATCCATTTGCAGATACTAGAAAAGACTGTTTCCAAACTGCTCAATCAAAGTAAAGTTCAACTCAGTGAGATGAATGCACACATCACCAAGACGTTTCTGAGAAAGATTCTGTCTCGTTTTTATGTGAAGATATTTCCTGTTTCTCCAGAGGCATCAATGGGCTCACAAACATTCCTTTGCCTATTCTACAAAATGACTGTTTAGAAGGTGCTCAATCAAAAAAAAAGTTCAACAGTGTGAGATGAATGCGCCCATTCAAAGGAAGTTTCTCAGAATTCTTCTATCTAGTTTTTATGTGAAGATATTTCCTTTTTCACTATAGGCCACAAAGTGCTCCAAATATCCACTTGCAGACTCTACAAAACGAGTGTATCCACACTGCACAATCAAAAGAATATTTCAACTGTGTGAGATGAATGCACACATCAAAATAAATTTCTCCAAAACTTCTGCCTACTTTTTATGGGAAGATATTTCGTTTTTCAACGTAGGCCAAAAGCACTCCAAATATCAATTTGCAGATTCTACAAAAAGACTGTTTCCAAACTGCTCAATCAAGAGAAAGTTTCAACCCAGTGAGTAGAAGTCACACATGACAAAATAGTTTCTCAGAAAGTATCTGTCTAGTTTTTATGTGAAGATATTTCCTATCACCCCAGAAGCCTCAATGGTCTCACAAATATTCCTTTGCAGATTCTACAAAACGACAGTTTCAAAACTGCTGAATCAAAAGAAAGGTTCAACTCTGTGAGATTAATGCACAGATCACAAATAAGTTTCTCAGAATGCTGCTGTCTAGTTTTAATGGGAAGAGATTTCCTTTTCCACCATAGGCCTCAAAGCTCTCCAAATAGCCATTTGCAGATACTGTAAAAAGACTGTTTCCAAACTGCTGAATCAAAAGAAAGGTTGAACTCCATGAGTTGAATGCACACGTCATAAAGAAGTTTCTCAGAATGGTTCTGACTAGTTTTTATGTGAAGATATTTTCTTTTCCACCGTAGGCCTCAAAGCGCTGAAAATATCCACTTGAAGATTCTACAAAAAGAGAGTTTCAAAACTGCTCAAACAAAAGAAAGATTCAACTCTGTGAGATGAATGCACACATCACAAAGAAGTTTCCTCAGAATGCTTCTGTCTAGTTTTATGTAAAGATATTTCCTTTTCTACTATAGGCCACAAAGCACTCCAAATATCAACTTGCAGATACTGCAGAAAGAGTTTTTCAAAGCTGCTCAATCAAAAGAAAAGTTCAACTCTTTGAGACGAATGCACACATCAGGAAGTTCCTCAGAATGCTTCTATTTTTATGTGAACATATCCTTTTCTACCATAGACCACAAAACGCTCCAAATATCCCCTTGCAGTTTCTACTAAAAGAGTGTTTCCAAACGGCTCAATCAAAAGAAAGTTTCAACGCTGTGAGATGAATGCACACATCATTAAGAAGTGTCTCAGTAATTTGCTGTCTAGTTTTTATGTGAAGATATTTCCCTTCCTACTATAGGCCTGAAAGTGCTCCAAATATCCGTTTGCAGATACTGCATAAAGACTGTTTCCAAACTGCTCAATCAAAGGAAATGTCCAACTCTGTGAGTTGAATGCACGCATCTCAAAGAGATTACTTATAATGATTCTGTCTAGTTTTGATGTGAAGATATTTGCTTTTCCACCAGTGGCCTCAAACTCTCCAAATATCCACTTGCAGATTCTACAATAAGAGTGTTTCAAAACTGCTCAATCAAAAGAAAGGTTCAACACTCTGAGATGAATGCACACGTCACAAAGCACTTTCTTAGAATGCTTCTGTCTAGCTTTTATGTGAAGATATTTCCTTTTTCACCATAGGCTGCAAAGCGCTCCAAATATCCCTTTCAGATTCAACAGAAAGAGTGTTTCAAAACTGTTCAATCAAAAGAGAAACACAACTCTGGTTATGAATGCACGCATCACATAGTAGTTTCTCATCATGTTTCTGTCTATTTTTTATGTGAAGTTATTTCATTTTCCACTATAGGCCGTAATGCACTCCTAATATCCACTTGCAGATTCTACAAAAGACTGTTTGCAAACTGCTCAAACAAAAGAAAAGTTCAACTCTGTGAGTTGAATGAGCACATCACAAAGAAGTTTCTCAGAATGCTTCTGTCTAGTTTCTATGTGAATATATTTCCTTTTCCACTATAGGCCGTAATGCGCTCCAAATATCCACTTGCAGTTTCTACAAAAAGACTGTTTCCAAACTGCTCAATCAAAAGAAAAGCTCAACTCTGTGAGTTGAATGAGCACATCAGAAAGAAGTTTCTCAGAATGCTTCTGTCTAGTTTTTAAGTGAATATATTTCCTTTTCCACCACAGGCCACAAACACTCCAAATATCCACTTGAAGATTCTACAAAAAGAGTGCTTCAAAAATGCTCAATCAAAAGAAAGTTTCAACTCTTTGAGATGGATGCACACATCACAAAGAAGCTTCTCAGAATGTTTCTGTCTAGTTTTTTTGTGAAGATATTTCCTTTTCCACCGTAGTCCTCAAGTCTCTCCAAATATCTACTTTCAGAATCTCCAAAAAGAGTGTTTGAAAACTGCTGTACCAAAGAAAGTTTCATGTCTGAGATATGACTGCATACAACACAGAGAAGTTTCTCAAAGTGCTTCTGTTTATTTTTCTTATGAAGATATTTCCTTTTCCACTATGGGCCACAGAGCGCTCCAAATATCCACTGGCAGATTCTACAAAAAGAGTGTTTCAAAACTGCTCAATCAATAGAAAGTTTGAAGTCTGTGAGATGAATGTGCACATCACAAAGGAGTTTCTAAGAATGCTTCCATCTGAATTTTATGTGAGGATATTTCCTTTTTCACCATAGGCCTCAATACGCTCCAAATATCCATTTATAGATAATACAAATGACTGTATCCAAACCGCTCAATCAAAAGAAAGTTCAACTTGTGTATGATGAATACACACATCACAAGGAAGTTTCTCAGAAAGTTTTTGTCTAATTTTTAGGTGAAGTTATTTCTTACTTCCCCAGAGGCCTCAATGGGCTCTCAAATATTCCCTTTCATATTCTACTAAACGACTGTATCGAATCTGCTCAATCAAAAGAAAGGTTTAACAGTGTGAGACGAAAATACACCTTCCTGGGAAGTTTCTCAGAATTCTTCTTTCTAGGTTTTTATGTGAAGATATTTCCTTTTCCACTATAGGCCTCAAAGCGTTCCAAATATCCACTTGCAGATCCTACAAATAGAGCCTTTCAAAACTGCTCAATCGAAAGAAAGGTTCAACTCTGTGAGATGAATGCAGACATCAAAAAGAAGTTTCTCAGAATGCTTCCGCCTTGTTTTTATGTGAAGATATTTCCTTTTTCACCATAGGCCTCAAAGCACTGGTAATATCCATTTGTAGATACTACAAAAAGACTGTTCCCAAACTGCTCAATAAAAAGAAAGTTTCAACTCTATGAGATAAAAGCTAATATCACAAAGAAGTTTCTCAGAAACTTTCTATCTAGTTTTTATGTGAACATATTTCTTATCACCCCATAGACCTCAATCGGCTCACAAGTATCCTTCTGCAGATTGTAAAAAACTACTGTTTCCAAACCGCTCAATCACAGGAAAGGTTTAACTCTGTGAAATGAATGCATCCATCCCAGAGAAGTTTCTCAGAATGCTTCCGTCTCGTTTCCATGTGAAGAAGATTCCTTTTCCACCATATTCCTCATGCGCTCCAAATAAACACTTGCAGATTCCGCTAAAAGAGTGTTTCAAAACTGCTCAATCAAAAGAAAGGTTCTAGTCGGTGAGATGAATGCACACATCACAAAGAAGTTTCTATGAATGCTTCTGTCTGATTTATATTGAAGATATTTCCTTTTTAACCGTAGGCCTCAGAGTGCTTAAAATATCCATTTGCAGATACTAGAAAAGACTGTTTCCAAACTGCTCAATCAAAATAAAGTTCAACTCAGTGAGATGAATGCACACATCACCAAGACGTTTCTGAGAAAGATTCTGTCTCGTTTTTATGTGAAGATATTTCCTGTTTCCCCAGAGGCATCAATGGGCTCACAAATATTCCTTTGCACATTCTACAAAATGACTGTTTAGAAGGTGCTCAATCAAAAAAAAATTTCAACAGTGTGAGATGAATGCGCCCATTCAAAGGAAGTTTCTCAGAATTCTTCTGTCCAGTTTTTATGTGAAGATATTTCCTTTTTCACTATAGGCCACAAAGCACTCAAAATATCCACTTGCAGACTCTACAAAAAGAGTGTTTCCACACTGCTCAATCAAAAGAAAAGTTCAACTGTGTGAGATGAATGCACACATCACAAAGAAATTTCTCCAAAAGCTTCTGCCTACTTTTTATGGGAAGATATTTTGTTTTTCAACATAGGCCAAAAGCACTCCAAATATCAATTTGCAGATTCTACAAAAAGACCGTTTCCAAACTGCTCAATCAAGAGAAAGTTTCAACCCGGTGAGTAGAAGTCACACATGACAAAATAGTTTCTCAGAAAGTATCTGTCTAGTTTTTACGTGAAGATATTTCCTATCACCCCAGAAGCCTCAATGGGCTCACAATATTCCTTTGCAGATTCTACAAAACGACAGTTTCAAAACTGCTGAATCAAAAGAAAGGTTCAACTCTGGGAGATGAATGCACAGATCACAAATAAGTTTCTCAGAATGCTGCTGTCTAGTTTTTATGGGAAGATATTTCCTTTTCCACCATAGGCCTCAAAGCTCTCCAAATATCCATTTGCAGACACTGTAAAAAGACTGTTTCCAAACTGCTGAATCAAAAGAAAGGTTGAACTCCATGAGTTGAATGCACACGTCACAAAGGCGTTTCTCAGAATGCTTGTGTCTAGCTTTTATGTGAAGATGTTTCCTTTTCCACCAGAGGCCTCAAAGTGCTTCAAATATACACTTGCAGATCTTGCAAAAAGAGTGTTTCAAAACTGCTCAATCAAAAGAAAGGTTGAAGTCTGTGAGATGAATGTACACATCACAAAGAAGTTTCTAAGAATGCTTCTGTCTGGTTTTATGTAAAGATATTTCCTTTTCTACTATAGGCCACAAAGCACTCCAAATATCAACTTGCAGATTCTGCAGAAAGAGTTTTTCAAAGCTGCTCAATCAAAAGAAAAGTTCAACTCTTTGAGATGAATGCACACATCAGGAAGTTCCTCAGAATGCTTCTATTTTTATGTGAAGATATAGCCTTTTCTACCATAGACGACAAAACGCTCCAAATATCCCCTTGCAGTTTCTACTAAAAGAGTGTTTCCAAACTGCTCAATCAAAAGAAGTTTCAACTCTGTGAGATGAATGCACTCATCAATAAGAAGTTTCTCAGTAATTTTCTGTCTAGTTTTTATGTGAAGATATTTCCTTTCCTACTATAGGCCTGAAAGTGCTCCAAATATCCGTTTGCAGATACTGCAAAAAGACTGTTTCCAAACTGCTCAATCAAAGGAAATGTCCAAATGCTGTGAGTTGAATGCACGCATCTCAAAGAGATTACTCATAATGATTCTGTCTAGTTTTGATGTGAAGATATTTGCTTTTCCACCAGTGGCCTCAAACTCTCCAAATATCCACTTGCAGATTCTACAATAAGAGTGTTTCAAAACTGCTCAATCAAAGAAAGGTTCAACACTGTGAGATGAATGCACACGTCACAAAGCACTTTCTTAGAATGCTTCTGTCTAGTTTTTATGTGAAGATATTTCGTTTTTCACCATAGGCCGCAAGGCGTTCCAAATATCCCCTTCAGATTCTACAGAAAGAGTGTTTCAAAACTGTTCAATCAAAAGAAAGGTTCAACCCTGGTGATGAATGCACGCATCACAGAGCAGTTTCTCATAATATTTATCTGTCTAGTTTTTGTGTGTATATATTTCCTTTTCCACCACAGGCCCCAAAGCACTCCAAATATCCATTTGCAGGTACTACAAAAAGACTGTTTCCAAACTGCTCAATCAAAAGAAAAGTTTAAATCTGTGAGTTGAATGAGCACATCACAAATAAGTTTCTCAGAATGCTTCTGTCTAGTTTTTATGTGAATATATTTCCTTTTCCACTATAGGCCGTAATGCGCTCCAAATATCCACCTGCAGATTCTACAAAAAGACTGTTTCCAAACTGCTCAATCAAAAGAAAAGTTCAACTCTGTGAGATGAATGAGCACATCACAAAGAAGTTTCTCAGAATGCTTCTATCTAGTTTTTATGTGAATATATTTCCTTTTCCACCACAGGCCACAAACACTCCAAATATCCACTTGAAGATTCTACAAAAAGAGTGCTTCAAAAATGCTCAATCAAAAGAAAGGTTCAACTGCTTTGAGATGGATGCACACATCACAAAGAAGCTTCTCAGAATGTTTCTGTCTAGTTTTTTTGTGAAGATATTTCCTTTTCCACCGTAGTCCTCAAGTCTCTCCAAATATCTACTTTCAGAATCTCCATAAAGAGTGTTTTAAAACTGCTGTACCAAAGAAAGTTTCATGTCTGAGTTATGACTGCATACAACACAGAGAACTTTCTCAAAGTGCTTCTGTTTATTTTTCTTATGAAGATATTTCCTTTTCCACTATGGGCCACAGAGCGCTCCAAATATCCACTGGCAGATTCTACAAAAAGAGTGTTTCAAAACTGCTCAATCAGTAGAAAGTTTGAAGTGTGTGAGATGAATGTACACATCACAAAGGAGTTTCTAAGAATGCTTCCATCTGAATTTTATGTGAGGATATTTCCTTTTTCACCATAGGCCTCAGTACACTCCAAATATCCATTTACAGATAATACAAATGACTGTATCCAAACTGCTCAATCAAAAGAAAGTTCAACTGTGTATGATGAATGCACACATCACAAGGGTGTTTCTCAGAAAGTTTTTGTCTTGTTTTTAGGTGAAGATATTTCTTATTTCCCCAGAGGCCTCAATGGGATCTCAAATATTCCCTTTCATATTCTACTAAATGACTGTATCGAAGCTGCTCAATCAAAAGACGGGTTTAACAGTGTGAGACGAAAATACACCTTCCTAGGAAGTTTCTCAGAATTCTTCCTTCTAGGTTTTTATGTGAAGATATTTCGTTTTCCACTATAGGCCTCAAAGCGTTCCAAATATCCACTTGCAGATCCTACAAATAGAGCCTTTCAAAACTGCTCAATCAAAAGAAAGGTTCAACTCTGTGAGATGAATGCAGACATCAAA
The DNA here is from genome assembly GCF_000001405.40 of Homo sapiens. Classification (NCBI taxonomy): domain Eukaryota; kingdom Metazoa; phylum Chordata; class Mammalia; order Primates; family Hominidae; genus Homo; species Homo sapiens. The sequence continues at coordinate 13,039,670 of NC_000022.11, read as the reverse complement.
AAGAAGTTTCTCAGAATGCTTCCGCCTTGTTTTTATGTGAAGATATTTCCTTTTTCACCATAGGCCTCAAAGCACTGGTAATATCCATTTGCAGATACTACAAAAAGACTGTCCCCAAACTGCTCAATAAAAAGAAAGTTTCAACTCTAGGAGATAAAAGCAAATATCACAAAGAAGTTTCTCAGAAACTTTCTATCTAGTTTTTATGTGAACATATTTCTTATCACCCCATAGACCTCAATCGGCTCACAAGTATCCTTCTGCAGATTATAAAAAACGACTGTTTCCAAACCGCTCAATCACAGGAAAGGTTTAACTCTGTGAAATGAATGCACCCATCACAGAGAAGTTTCTCAGAATGCTTCTGTCTCGTTTTTATGTGAAGAAGATTCCTTTTCCACCATATTCCTCATGCACTCCAAATAAACACTTGCAGATTCTGCTAAAAGAGTGTTTCAAAACTGCTCAATCAAAAGAAAGGTTCTAGTCGGTGAGACGAATGCACACATCACAAAGAAGTTTCTATGAATGCTTCTGTCTGATTTATATTGAAGATATTTCCTTTTTCACCGTAGGCTTCAGAGTGCTTAAAATATCCATTTGCAGATACTAGAAAAGACACTTTCCAAACTGCTCAATCAAAATAAAGTTCAACTCAGTGAGATGAATGCACACATCACCAAGACGTTTCTGAGAAAGATTCTGTCTCGTTTTTATGTGAAGATATTTCCTATTTCCCCAGAGGCATCAATGGGCTCACAAATATTCCTTTGCATATTCTACAAAATGACTGTTTAGAAGGTGCTCAATCAAAAAAAAAAGTTCAACAATGTGAGATGAATGCGCACATTCAAAGGAAGTTTCTCAGAATTCTTCTATCTAGTTTTTATGTGAAGATATTTCCTTTTTCACTGTAGGCCACAAAGTGCTCCAAATATCCACTTGCAGACTCTACAAAACGAGTGTATCCACACTGCTCAATCAAAAGAAAATTTCAACTGTGTGAGATGAATGCACACATCAAAATAAATTTCTCCAAAACTTCTGCCTACTTTTTATGGGAAGATATTTCGTTTTTCAACGTAGGCCAAAAGCACTCCAAATATCAATTTGCAGATTCTACAAAAAGACTGTTTCCAAACTGCTCAATCAAGAGAAAGTTTCAACCTGGTGAGTAGAAGTCACACATGACAAAATAGTTTCTCAGAAAGTATCTGTCTAGTTTTTATGTGAAGATATTTCTTATCACCCCAGAAGCCTCAATGGGCTCACAAATATTCCTTTGCAGATTCTACAAAACGACAGTTTCAAAACTGCTGAATCAAAAGAAAGGTTCAACTCTGTGAGATGAATGCACAGATCACAAATAAGTTTCTCAGAATGCTGCTGTCTAGTTTTTATGGGAAGAGATTTCCTTTTCCACCATAGGCCTCAAAGCTCTCCAAATAGCCATTTGCAGATACTGTAAAAAGACTGTTTCCAAACTGCTGAATCAAAAGAAAGGTTGAACTCCATGAGTTGAATGCACACGTCACAAAGAAGTTTCTCAGAATTCTTCTGACTAGTTTTTATGTGAAGATATTTTCTTTTCCACCATAGGCCTCAAAGCGCTAAAAATATCCACTTGAAGATTCTACAGAAAGAGAGTTTCAAAACTGCTCAAACAAAAGAAAGATTCAACTCTGTGAGATGAATGCACACATCACAAAGAAGTTTCTCAGAATGCTTCTGTCTAGTTTTATGTGAAGATATTTCCTTTTCTACTATAGGCCGCAAAGTACTCCAAATATCAACTTGCAGATTCTGCAGAAAGAGTTTTTCAAAGCTGCTCAATCAAAAGAAAAGTTCAACTCTTTGAGATGAATGCACACGTCATGAAGAAGTTCCTCAGAATGCTTCTATTTTTATGTGAAGACATATCCTTTTCTACCATAGACCACAAAACGCTCCAAATATCCCCTTGCAGTTTCTACTAAAAGAGTGTTTCCAAACTGCTCAATCAAAAGAAGTTTCAACTCTGTGAGATGAATGCACACATCATTAAGAAGTTTCTCAGTAATTTTCTGTCTAGTTTTTATGTGAAGATATTTCCTTTCCTACTATAGGCCTGAAAGTGCTCCAAATATCCGTTTGCAGATACTGCAAAAAGACTGTTTCCACACTGCTCAATCAAAGGAAATGTCCAACTCTGTGAGTTCAATGCACGCATCTCAAAGAGATTACTTATAATGATTCTGTCTAGTTTTGATGTGAAGATATTTGCTTTTCCACCAGTGACCTCAAACTCTCCAAATATCCACTTGCAGATTCTACAATAAGAGTGTTTCAAAACTGCTCAATCAAAAGAAAGCTTCAACACTGTGAGATGAATGCACACGTCACAAAGCACTTTCTTAGAATGCATCTGTCTAGCTTTTATGTGAAGATATTTCCTTTTTCACCATAGGCTGCAAAGCGCTCCAAATATCCCTTTCAGATTCTACAGAAAGAGAGTTTCAAAACTGTTCAATCAAAAGAGAAACTCAACTCTGGTGATGAATGCACGCATCACAAAGCAGTTTCTCATAATATTTCTGTCTAGTTTTTATGTGAAGATATTTCATTTTCCACTATAGGCCGTAATGCACTCCTAATATCCACTTGCAGATTCTACAGAAAGACTGTTTGCAAACTGCTCAAACAAAAGAAAAGTTCAACTCTGTGAGTTGAATGAGCACATCACAAAGAAGTTTCTCAGCATGCTTCTGTCTAGTTTTTATGTGAATATATTTCCTTTTCCACTATAGGCCGTAATGCACTCCTAATATCCACTTGCAGATTCTACAAAAAGACTGTTTCCAAACTGCTCAATCAAAAGAAAAGCTCAACTCTGTGAGTTGTATGAGCACATCACAAAGAAGTTTCTCAGAATGCTTCTATCTAGTTTTTATGTGAATATATTTCCTTTTCCACCACAGGCCACAAACCCTCCAAATATCCACTTGAAGATTCTACAAAAAGAGTGCTTCAAAAATGCTCAATCAAAAGAAAGGTTCAACTCTTCGAAATGGACGCACACATCACAAAGAAGCTTCTCAGAATGTTTCTGTCTAGTTTTTTTGTGAAGATATTTCCTTTTCCACCGTAGTCCTCAAGTCTCTCCAAATATCTACTTTCAGAATCTCCAAAAAGAGTGTTTTAAAACTGCTGTACCAAAGAAAGTTTCATGTCTGAGTTATGACTGCATACAACACAGAAAACTTTCTCAAAGTGCTTCTGTTTATTTTTTTTATGAAGATATTTCCTTTTCCACTATGGGCAACAGAACGCTCCAAATATCCACTGGCAGATTCTACAAAAAGAGTGTTTCAAAACTGCTCAATCAATAGAAAGTTTGAAGTCTGTGAGATGAATGCACACATCACATAGGAGTTTCTAAGAATGCTTCCATCTGAATTTTATGTGAGGATATTTCCTTTTTCACCATAGGCCTCAATACACTCCAAATATCCATTTACAGAAAATACAAATGACTGTATCCAAACTGCTCAATCAAAAGAAATTTCAACTGTGCATGATGAATGCACACATCACAAGGGGGTTTCTCAGAAAGATTTTGTCTAGTTTTTAGGTGAAGATATTTCTTATTTCCCCAGAGGCCTCAATGGGCTCTCAAATATTCCCTTTCATATTCTACTAAATGACTGTATCGAAGCTGCTCAATCAAAAGACGGGTTTAACAGTGTGAGACGAAAATACAGCTTCCTAGGAAGTTTCTCAGAATTCTTCTTTCTAGTTTTTTATGTGAAGATATTTCCTTTTCCACTATAGGCCTCAAAGCGTTCCAAATATCCACTTGCAGATACTACAAATAGAGCGTTTCAAAACTGCTCAATCAAAAGAAATGTTCAACTCTGTGAGATGAATGCAGACATCAAAAAGAAGTTTCTCAGAATGCTTCTGCCTTGTTTTTATGTGAAGATATTTCCTTTTTCAAAATAGGCCTCAAAGCACTGGTAATATCCATTTGCAGATACTACAAAAAGACTGTTCCCAAACTGCTCAATAAAAATAAAGTTTCAACTCTATGAGATAAAAGCAAATATCACAAAGAAGTTTCTCAGAAACTTTCTGTCTAGTTTTTATGTGAACATATTTCCTATCGCCCCATAGGCCTCAATCAGCTCAAAAATATCCTTCTGCAGATTATACAAAACAAATGTTTCCAAACCATTCAATCACAGGAAGGGTTTAACTTTGTGAAATGAATGCGCCCATCACAGAAAAGTTTCTCAGAATGTTTCCGTCTCGTTTTCATGTGAAGAAGATTCCTTTTCCACCATATTCCTCATGCGTTCCAAATAAACACTTGCAGATTCCGCTAAAAGAGTGTTTCAAAACTGCTCAATCAAAAGAAAGGTTCTAGTCGGTGAGATGAATGCACACATCCCAAAGAAGTTTCTATGAATGCTTCTGTCTGATTTATATTGAAGATATTTCCTTTTTCACTGTAGGCCTCAGAGTGCTTAAAATATCCATTTGCAGATACTAGAAAAGACTGTTTCCAAACTGCTCAATCAAAATAAAGTTCAACTCAGTGAGATGAATGCACACATCACCAAGACGTTTCTGAGAAAGATTTCTGTCTCGTTTTTATGTGAAGATATTTCCTGTTTCCCCAGAGGCATCAATGGGCTCACAAATATTCCTTTGCATATTCTACAAAATGACTGTTTAGAAGGTGCTCAATCAAAAAAAAAAGTTCAACAGTGTGAGATGAATGCGCCCATTCAAAGGAAGTTTCTCAGAATTCTTCTATCTAGTTTTTATGTGAAGATATTTCCTTTTTCACTGTAGGCCACAAAGTGCTCCAAATATCCACTTGCAGACGCTACAAAACGAGTGTATCCACACTGCTCAATCAAAAGAAAATTTCAACTGTGTGAGATGAATGCACACATCAAAATAAATTTCTCCAAAACTTCTGCCTACTTTTTATGGGAAGATATTTCGTTTTTCAACGTAGGCCAGAAGCACTCCAAATATCAATTTGCAGATTCTACAAAAAGACTGTTTCCAAACTGCTCAATCAAGAGAAAGTTTCAACCTGGTGAGTAGAAGTCACACATGACAAAATAGTTTCTCAGAAAGTATCTGTCTAGTTTTTATGTGAAGATATTTCCTATCACCCCAGAAGCCTCCATGGGCTCACAAATATTCCTTTGCAGATTCTACAAAACGACAGTTTCAAAACTGCTGAATCAAAAGAAAGGTTCAACTCCGTGAGATGAATGCACAGATCACAAATAAGTTTCTCAGAATGCTGCTGTCTAGTTTTTATGGGAAGAGATTTCCTTTTCCACCATAGGCCTCAAAGCTCTCCAAATATCCATCTGCAGATACTGTAAAAAGACTGTTTCCAAACTGCTGAATCAAAAGAAAGGTTGAACTCCATGAGTTGAATGCACACGTCACAAAGAAGTTTCTCAGAATGCTTGTGTCTAGTTTTTATGTGAAGATGCTTCCTTTTCCACCAGAAGCCTCAAAGCACTTCAAATATACACTTGCAGATACTGCAAAAAGAGTGTTTCAAAACTGCTCAATCAATAGAAAGTTTGAAGTCTGTGAGATGAATGCACACATCACAAAGAAGTTTCTGAGAATGCTTCTGTCTAGTTTTATGTAAAGATATTTCCTTTTCTACTATAGGCCACAAAGCACTCCAAATATCAACTTGCAGATTCTGCAGAAAGAGATTTTCAAAGCTGCTCAATCAAAAGAAAAGTTCAACTCTTTGAGATTAATGCACACATCATGAAGTTCCTCAGAATGCTTCTATTTTTATGTGAAGATATAGCCTTTTCTGCCATAGACCACAAAACGCTCCAAATATCCCCTTGCAGTTTCTACTAAAAGAGTGTTTCCAAACTGCTCAATCAAAAGAAAGTTTCAACTCTGTGAGATGAATGCACACATCATAAAGAAGTTTCTCAGTAATTTTCTGTCTAGTTTTTATGTGAAGATATTTCCTTTCCTACTATAGGCCTGAAAGTGCTCCAAATATCCGCTTGCAGATACTGCAAAAAGACTGTTTCCAAACTGCTCAATCAAAGGAAACGGTCCAACTCTGTGAGTTGAATGCACTGCATCTCAAAGAGATTACTTATAATGATTCTGTCTAGTTTTGATGTGAAGATATTTGCTTTTCCACCAGTGACCTCAAACTCTCCAAATATCCACTTGCAGATTCTACAATAAGAGTGTTTCAAAACTGCTCAATCAAAAGAAAGGTTCAACACTGTGAGATGAATGCACACGTCACAAAGCACTTTCTTAGAATGCTTCTGTCTAGCTTTTATGTGAAGATATTTCCTTTTTCACCATAGGCTGCAAAGCGCTCCAAATATCCCTTTCAGATTCTACAGAAAGAGTGTTTCAAAACTGATCAATCAAAAGAGAAATTCAACTCTGGTGATGAATGCACGCATCACAAAGCAGTTTCTCATAATGTTTCTGTCTAGTTTTTATGTGAAGGTATTTCGTTTTCCACTATAGGCCGTAAAGCACTCCAAATATCCACTTGCAGATTCTACAAAAAGACTGTTTCCAAACTACTCAATCAAAAGAAATGTTCAACTTTTTTAGTTGAATGCACGCATCACAAAGAAGTTTCTCAGCATGCTTCTGTCTAGTTTTTATGTGAATATATTTCCTTTTCCACTATAGGCCATCATGCGCTCCAAATATCCACTTGCAGATTCTACAAAAAGACTGTTTCCAAACTGCTCAATCAAAAGAAAAGCTCAACTCTGTGAGTTGAATGAGCACATCACAAAGAAGTTTCTCAGAATGCTTCTATCTAGTTTTTATGTGAATATATTTCCTTTTCCACCACAGGCCACAAACACTCCAAATATCCACTTGAAGATTCTACAAAAAGAGTGCTTCAAAAATGCTCAATCAAAAGAAAGGTTCAACTCTTCGAGATGGATGCACACATCACAAAGAAGCTTCTCAGAATGTTTCTGTCTAGTTTTTTGGTGAAGATATTTCCTTTTCCACCGTAGTCCTCAAGTCTCTCCAAATATCTACTTTCAGAATCTCCAAAAAGAGTGTTTTAAAACTGCTGTACCAAAGAAAGTTTCATGTCTGAGATATGACTGCATACAACACAGAGAAGTTTCTCAAAGTGCTTCTGTTTATTTTTTTGATGAAGATATTTCCTTTTCCACTATTGGCCACAGAGCGCTCCAAATATCCACTGGCAGATTCTACAAAAAGAGTGTTTCAACACTGCTCAATCAATAGAAAGTTTGAAGTCTGTGAGATGAATGTACACATCACAAAGGAGTTTCTAAGAATGCTTCCATCTGAATTTTATGTGAGGATATTTCCTTTTTCACCATAGGCGTCAGTACATTCCAAATATCCATTTACAGATAATACAAATGACTGTATCCAAACTGCTCAATCAAAAGAAAGTTCAACTGTGTATGATGAATGCACACATCACAAGGGTGTTTCTCAGAAAGTTTTTGTCTAGTTTTTAGATGAAGATATTTCTTATTTCCCAAGAGGCCTCAATGGGCTCTCAAATATTCTCTTTCAGATTCTACTAAATGACTGTATCGAAGCTGCTCAATCAAAAGAAAGGTTCAACAGTGTGAGAAGAAAGCACACATTCCTAGGAAGTTTCTCAGAATTCTTCTTTCTAGTTTTTTATGTGAAGATATTTCCTTTTCCACTATAGGCCTCAAAGCGTTCCAAATATCCACTTGCAGATACTACAAATAGAGCGTTTCAAAACTGCTCAATCAAAAGAAAGGTTCAACTCTGTGAGATGAATGCAGACATCAAAAAGAAGTTTCTCAGAATTCTTCTGCCTTGTATTTATGGGAAGATATTTCCTTTTTCACCATAGGTCTCAAAGCACTGGTAATATCCATTTGCAGATACTACAAAAAGACTGTTCCCAAACTGCTCAATCAAAAGAAAGTTTCAACTCTGTGAGATGAAAGCAAATATCACAAAGAAGTTTCTCATAAATTTTCTATCTAGTTTTTATGTGAACATATTTCTTATCACCCCATAGACCTCAATCGGCTCACAAGTATCCTTCTGCAGATTGTAAAAAACTACTGTTTCCAAACCGCTCAGTCACAGGAAAGGTTTAACTCTGTGAAATGAATGCATCCATCACAGAGAAGTTTCTCAGAATGCTTCCGTCCGTTTTCATGTGAAGAAGATTCCTTTTCCACCATATTCCTCATGCGCTCCAAATAAACACTTGCAGATTCCGCTAAAAGAGTGTTTCAAAACTGCTCAATCAAAAGAAAGGTTCTAGTCGGTGAGATGAATGCACACATCACAAAGAAGTTTCTATGAATGCTTCTGTCTGATTTATATTGAAGATATTTCCTTTTTCACCGTAGGCCTCAGAGTGTTTAAAATATCCATTTGCAGATACTAGAAAAGACTGTTTCCAAACTGCTCAATCAAAATAAAGTTCAACTCAGTGAGATGAATGCACACATCACCAAGACGTTTCTGAGAAAGATTCTGTCTCGTTTTTATGTGAAGATATTTCCTGTTTCCCCAGAGGCATCAATGGGCTCACAAATATTCCTTTGCATATTCTACAAAATGACTGTTTAGAAGGTGCTCAATCAAAAAAGAAGTTCAACAGTGTGAGATGAATGCGCCCATTCAAAGGAAGTTTCTCAGAATTCTTCTATCTAGTTTTTATGTGAAGATATTTCCTTTTTCACTATAGGCCACAAAGTGCTCCAAATATCCACTTGCAGACTCTACAAAACGAGTGTATCCACACTGCTCAATCAAAAGAAAATTTCAACTGTGTGAGATGAATGCACACATCAAAATAAATTTCTCCAAAATTTCTGCCTACTTTTTATGGGAAGATATTTCGTTTTTCAACGTAGGCCAAAAGCACTCCAAATATCAATTTGCAGATTCTACAAAAAGACTGTTTCCAAACTGCTCAATCAACAGAATGTTTCAACCCGGTGAGTAGAAGTCACACATGACAAAATAGTTTCTCAGAAAGTATCTGTCTAGTTTTTATGTGAAGATATTTCCTATTACCCCAGAAGCCTCAATGGGCTCACAAATATTCCTTTGCAGATTCTACAAAACGACAGTTTCAAAACTGCTGAATCAAAAGAAAGGTTCAACTCTGTGAGATGAATGCACAGATCACAAATAAGTTTCTCAGAATGCTTCTGTCTAGTTTTTATGTGAAGATATTTCCTTTTCCACCATAGGCCTCAAAGCTCTCCAAATATCCATTTGCAGATACTACAAAAAGACTGTTTCCAAACTGCTGAATCAAAAGAAAGGTTCAACTACATGAGTTGAATGCACACATCACAAAGAAGTTTCTCAGAAAGCTTGTGTCTAGTTTTTATGTGAAGATGTTTCCTTTTCCACCACAGGCCTCAAAGCGCTTCAAATATACACTTGCAGATCCTGCAAAAAGAGTGTTTCAAAACTGCTCAATCAAAAGAAAGGTTGAAGTCTGTGAGATGAATGCACTCCTCACAAAGTAGTTTCTAAGAATGCTTCTGTCTAGTTTTATGTAAAGATATTTCCTTTTCTACTATAGGCCACAAAGCACTCCAAATATCAACTTGCAGATTCTGCAGAAAGAGTTTTTCAAAGCTGCTCAGTCAAAAGACAAGTTCAACTCTTTGAGATGAATGCACACATCATGAAGTTCCTCAGAATGCTTCTATTTTTATGTGAAGATATATCCTTTTCTACCATAGACCACAAAACGCTCCAAATATCCCCTTGCAGTTTCTACTAAAAGAGTGTTTCCAAACGGCTCAATCAAAAGAAAGTTTCAACTCTGTGAGATGAATGCACACATCATTAAGAAGTGTCTCAGTAATTTTCTGTCTAGTTTTTATGTGAAGATATTTCCTTTCCTACTATAGGCCTGAAAGTGCTGCAAATATCCGTTTGCAGATACTGCAAAAAGACTGTTTCCACACTGCTCAATCAAAGGAAATGTCCAACTCTGTGAGTTGAATGCATGCATCTCAAAGAGATTACTTATAATGATTCTGTCTAGTTTTTAGGTGAAGATATTCCCTTTTAAACTGTAGTCTGCAAAGCACTCCAAATATACACTTGCAGATTCTACAAAAAGAGTGTTTCAAAATTGCTCAATCAAAAGAAGGGTTCAACAGTGTTAGTTGAATGCACACATCACAAAGAATTTTCCCAGAATGCTTCTGTCTAGCTTTTATGTGAAGATATTTCCTTTTTCACCATAGGCTGCAAAGCGCTGCAAATATCCCTTTCAGATTCTACAGAAAGAATGTTTCAAAACTGTTCAATCAAAAGAGAAACTCAACTCTGGTGATGAATGCACGCATCACAAAGCAGTTTCTCATAATGTTTCTGTCTAGTTTTTATGTGAAGATATTTCATTCTCCATTATAGGCCGTAATACACTCCTAATATCCACTTGCAGATTCTACAAAAAGACTGTTTGCAAACTGCTCAAACAAAAGAAAAGTTCAACTCTGTGAGTTGAATGAGCACATCACAAAGAAGTTTCTCAGAATGCTTCTGTCTAGTTTTTATGTGAATATATTTCCTTTTCCACTATAGGTCGTCATGCGCTCCAAATATCCACTTGCAGATTCTACAAAAAGACTGTTTCCAAACTGCTCAATCAAAAGAAAAGCTCAACTCTGTGAGTTGAATGAGCACATCACAAAGAAGTTTCTCAGAATGCTTCTGTCTAGTTTTTATGTGAAGATATTTCCTTTTCCACCACAGGCCACAAAGCATTCCAAATATCCACTTGAAGATTCTACAAAAAGAGTGCTTCAAAAATGCTCAATCAAAAGAAAGGTTCAACTCTTTGAGATGGATGCACATATCACAAAGAAGCTTCTCAGAATGCTTCTGTCTACTTTTTTTGTGAAGATATTTCCTTTTCCACCGTAGTCCTCAAGTCTCTCCAAATACCTACTTTCAGAATCTCCAAAAAGAGTGTTTTAAAACTGCTGTACCAAAGAAAGTTTCATGTCTGAGATATGACTGCATACAACACAGAGAACTTTCTCAAGGTGCTTCTGTTTATTTTTTTTATGAAGATATTTCCTTTTCCACTATGGGCCACAGTAGCGCTCCAAATATCCACTGGCAGATTCTACAAAAAGAGTGTTTCAAAACTGCTCAATCAATAGAAAGTTTGAAGTCTGTGAGATGAGTGCACACATCACAAAGGAGTTTCTAAGAATGCTTCCATCTGAATTTTATGTGAGGATATTTCCTTTTTCACCATAGGCCTCAGTACACTCCAAATATCCATTTACAGATAGTACAAATGACTGTATCCAAACTGCTCAATCAAAAGAAAGTTCAACTGTGTATGATGAATGCACACATCACAAGGGTGTTTCTCAGAAAATTTTTGTCTAGTTTTTAGGTGAAGATATTTCTTATTTCCCAAGAGGCCTCAATGGGCTCTCAAATATTCTCTTTCAGATTCTACTAAATGACTGTATCGAAGCTGCTCAATCAAAAGAAAGGTTCAACAGTGTGAGAAGAAAGTACACATTCCTAGGAAGTTTCTCAGAATTCTTCTTTCTAGGTTTTTATGTGAAGATATTTCCTTTTCCACTATAGGCCTCAAAGCGTTCCAAATATCCACTTGCAGATACTACAAATAGAGCGTTTCTAAACTGCTCAATCAAAAGAAAGGTTCAACTCTGTGAGATGAATGCAGACATCAAAAAGAAGTTTCTCAGAATGCTTCTGCCTTGTTTTTATGTGAAGATATTTCCTTTTTCACCATAGGCCTCAAAGCACTGGTAATATCCATTTGCAGATACTACAAAAAGACTGTTCCCAAACTGCTCAATAAAAAGAAAGTTTCAACTCTATGAGATAAAAGCAAATATCACAAAGAAGTTTCTCAGAATCTTTCTATCTAGTTTTTATGTGAACATATTTCTTATCTCCCCATAGACCTCAATCAGCTCACAAGTATCCTTCTGCAGAGTGTAAAAAACTACTGTTTCCAAACCGTTCAATCACAGGAAAGGTTTAACTCTGTGAAATGAATGCATCCATCACAGAGAAGTTTCTCAGAATGCTTCCGTCTCGTTTCCATGTGAAGAATATTCCTTTTCCACCATATTCCTCATGCGCTCCAAATAAACACTTGCAGATTCCGCTAAAAGAGTGTTTCAAAACTGCTCAATCAAAAGAAAGGTTCTAGTCGGTGAGATGAATGCACACATCACAAAGAAGTTTCTATGAATGCTTCTGTCTGATTTATATTGAAGATATTTCCTTTTTCACCGTAGGCCTCAGAGTGCTTCAAATATCCATTTGCAGATAGTAGAAAAGACTGTTTCCAAACTGCTCAATCAAAATAAAGTTCAACTCAGTGAGATGAATGCACACATCACCAAGACGTTTCTGAGAAAGATTCTGTCTCGTTTTTATGTGAAGATATTTCCTGTTTCCCCAGAGGCATCAATGGGCTCACAAATATTCCTTTGCATATTCTACAAAATGACTGTTTAGAAGGTGCTCAATCAAAAAAAGAGTTCAACAGTGTGAGATGAATGCGCCCATTCAAAGGAAGTTTCTCAGAATTCTTTTATCTAGTTTTTATGTGAAGATATTTCCTTTTTCACTATAGGCCGCAAAGTGCTCCAAATATCCACTTGCAGACTCTACAAAACGAGTGTATCCACACTGCTCAATCAAAAGAAAATTTCAACTGTGTGAGATGAATGCACACATCAAAATAAATTTCTCCAAAACTTCTGCCTACTTTATATGGGAAGATATTTCGTTTTACAACGTAGGCCAAAAGCACTCCAAATATCAATTTGCAGATTCTACAAAAAGACTGTTTCCAAACTGCTCAATCAAGAGAAAGTTTCAACCCAGTGAGTAGAAGTCACACATGACAAAATAGTTTCTCAGAAAGTATCTGTCTAGTTTTTATGTGAAGATATTTCCTATCACCCCATACGTCTCAATGGGCTCAAAAATATCCCTCTGCAGATTCTACGAAACGATTGTTTCCAAACTGTTCAATACAAGGAAAGGTTCAACTCCGTGAAGTGAATACACCCATCAGGCAGAAGTTTCTCAGAATGCTTGCTGTCTAGTTTTTATGGGAAGAGATTTCCTTTTCCACCATAGGCCTCAAAGCTCTCCAAATATCCATTTGCAGATACTGTAAAAAGACTGTTTCCAAACTGCTGAATCAAAAGAAAGGTTGAACTCCATGAGTTGAATGCACACGTCACAAAGAAGTTTCTCAGAATGCTTCTGACTAGTTTTTATGTGAAGATATTTTCTTTTCCAACATAGGCCTCAAAGCGCTGAAAATATCCACTTGAAGATTCTACAAAAAGAGAGTTTCAAAACTGCTCAAACAAAAGAAAGATTCAACTCTGTGAGATGAATGCACACATCACAAAGAAGTTTCTCAGAATGCTTCTGTCTAGTTTTATGTAAAGATATTTCCTTTTCTACTATAGGCCACAAAGCACTCCAAATATCAACTTGCAGATTCTGCAGAAAGAGTTTTTCAAAGCTGCTCAATCAAAAGAAAAGTTCAACTCTTTGTGATGAATGCACACATCATGAAGTTCCTCAGAATGCTTCTATTTTTATGTGAAGATATAGCCTTTTCTACCATAGACCACAAAACGCTCCAAATATCCCCTTGCAGTTTCTACTAAAAGAGAGTTTCCAAACGGCTCAATCAAAAGAAGTTTCAACTCTGTGAGATGAATGCACACATCATTAAGAAGTTTCTCAGTAATTTTCTGTCTAGTTTTTAGGTGAAGATATTTCCTTTCCTACTATAGGCCTGAAAGTGCTCCAAATATCCGCTTGCAGATACTGCAAAAAGACTGTTTCCAAACTGCTCAATCAAAGGAAACGTCCAACTCTGTGAGTTGAATGCACGCATCTCAAAGAGATTACTTATAATGATCCTGTCTAGTTTTGATGTGAAGATATTTGCTTTTCCACCAGTGGCCTCAAACTCTCGAAATATCCACTTGCAGATTCTACAATAAGAGTGTTTCAAAAGTGCTCAATCAAAAGAAAGGTTCAACACTGTGAGATGAATGCACACGTCACAAAGCACTTTCTTAGAATGCTTCTGTCTAGCTTTTATGTGAAGATATTTGCTTTTTCACCATAGGCTGCAAAGCGCTCCAAATATCCCTTTCAGATTCTACAGAAAGAGTGTTTCAAAACTGTTCAATCAAAAGAGAAACTCAACTCTGGTGATGAATGCAAGCATCACAAAGCAGTTTCTCATAACGTTTCTGTCTATTTTTTATGTGAAGTTATTTCATTTTCCACTATAGGCCGTAATGCACTCCTAATATCCACTTGCAGATTCTACAAAAAGACTGATTGCAAACTGCTCAAACAAAAGAAAAGTTCAACTCTGTGAGTTGAATGAGCACATCACAAAGAAGTTTCTCAGAATGCTTCTGTCTAGTTTTTATGTGAATATATTTCCTTTTCCACTATAGGCCGTAATGCGCTCCAAATATCCACCTGCAGATTCTACAAAAAGACTGTTTCCAAACTGCTCAATCAAAAGAAAAGCTCAACTCTGTGAGTTGAATGAGCACATCACAAAGAAGCTCTCAGAATGCTTCTATCTAGTTTTTATGTGAATATATTTGCTTTTCCACCACAGGCCACAAACCCTCCAAATATCCACTTGAAGATTCTACAAAAAGAGTGCCTCAAAAATGCGCAATCAAAAGAAAGGTTCAACTCTTCGAGATGGACGCACACATCACAAAGAAGCTTCTCAGAATGTTTCTTTTTTGTCTGTCTAGTTTTTTTGTGAAGATATTTCCTTTTCCACCGTAGTCCTCAAGTCTCTCCAAATATCTACTTTCAGAATCTCCAAAAAGAGTGTTTTAAAACTGCTGTACCAAAGAAAGTTTCATGTCTGAGATATGACTGCATACAACACAGAGAACTTTCTTAAAGTGCTTCTGTTTATTTTTTTTATGAAGATATTTCCTTATCCACTATTGGCCACAGAGCGCTCCAAATATCCACTGGCAGATTCTACAAAAAGAGAGTTTCAAAACTGCTCAATCATTAGAAAGTTTGAAGTCTGTGAGATGAATGAACACAACACAAAGGAGTTTCTAAGAATGCTTCCATCTGATTTTTATGTGAAGATATTTCCTTTTTCACCATAGGCCTCATTACACTCCAAATATCCATTTATAGATAATACAAATGACTGTTTCCAAACTGCTCAATCAAAAGAAAGTTCAACTGCGTGTGATAAATGCACACATCACAAGGAAGTTGCTCAGAAAGTTTTGTCTTGTTTTTAGGTGAAGATATTTCTTATTTCCCCAGAGGCCTCAATGGGCTCTCAAATATTCCCTTTCATATTCTACTAAAAGACTGTATCGAAGCTGCTCAATCAAAAGACGGGTTTAACAGTGTGAGACGAAAATAAACCTTCCTAGGAAGTTTCTCAGAATTCTTTCTTTCTGGTTTTTTATGTGAAGATATTTCCTTTTCCACTATAGGCCTCAAAGCGTTCCAAATATCCACTTGCAGACACTACAAATAGAGCGTTTCAAAACTGCTCAATCAAAAGAAAGGTTCAACTCTGTGAGATGAATGCAGACATCAAAAAGAAGTTTCTCAGAATGCTTCTGCCTTGTTTTTATGTGAAGATATTTCCTTTTTCACCATAGGCCTCAAAGCCCTGGTAATATCCATTTGCAGATACTACAAAAAGACTGTTCCCAAACTGCTCAATAAAAAGAAAGTTTCAACTCTATGAGATAAAAGCAAATATCACAAAGAAGTTTCTCAGAAACTTTCTATCTAGTTTTTATGTGAACATATTTCTTATCACCCCATAGACCTCAATCGGCTCACAAGTATCCTTCTGCAGATTGTAAAAAACTACTGTTTCCAAACCGCTCAATCACAGGAAAGGTTTAACTCTGGGAAATGAATGCATCCATCACAGAGAAGTTTCTCAGAATGCTTCTGTCTCGTTTTTATGTGAAGAAGATTCCTTTTCCACCATATTCCTCATGCGCTTCAAACATACATTGCAGATTCTACAAAAAGAGTGTTTCAAAACTGCTAAATCAAAAGAAAAGTTCTAATCTGTGAGATGAATGCACACCTCACAAAGAAGTTTCTATGAATGCTTCTGTCTGATTTATATTGAAGATATTTCCTTTTTCACCGTAGGCCTCAGAGCGCTTAAAATATCCATTTGCAGATACTAGAAAAAGACTGTTTCCAAACTGCTCAATAAAAATAAAGTTCAACTCAGTGAGATGAATGCACACATCACAAAGAAGTTTCTGAGAAAGATTCTGTCTCGTTTTTATGTGAAGATATTTCCTGTTTCCCCAGAGGCATCAATGGGCTCACAAATATTCCTTTGCATATTCTACAAAATGACTGTTTAGACGGTGATCAATCAAAAAAAAAAGTTCAACAGTGTGAGATGAATGCGCCCATTCAAAGGAAGTTTCTCAGAATTCTTCTATCTAGTTTTTATGTGAAGATATTTCCTTTTTCACTATAGGCCACAAAGTGCTCCAAATATCCACTTGCAGACTCTACAAAACGAGTGTATCCACACTGCTCAATCAAAAGAAAATTTCAACTGTGTGAGATGAATGCACACATCAAAATAAGTTTCTCCAAAACTTCTGCCTACTTTTTATGGGAAGATATTTCGTTTTTCAACGTAGGCCAAAAGCACTCCAAATATCAATTTGCAGATTCTACAAAAAGACTGTTTCCAAACTGCTCAATCAAGAGAAAGTTTCAACCCTGTGAGTAGAAGTCACACATGACAAAATAGTTTCTCCGAAAGTATCTGTCTAGTTTTAATGTGAAGATATTTCCTATCACCCCAGAAGCCTCAATGGGCTCACAAATATTCCTTTGCAGATTCTACAAAACGACAGTTTCAAAACTGCTGAATCAAAAGAAAGGTTCAACTCTGTGAGATGAATGCACAGATCACAAATAAGTTTCTCAGAATGCTGCTGTCTAGTTTTTATGAGAAGAGATTTCCTTTTCCACCATAGGCGTCAATGCTCTCCAAATAGCCATTTGCAGATACTGTAAAAAGACTGTTTCCAAACTGCTGAATCAAAAGAAAGGTTGAACTCCATGAGTTGAATGCACACGTCACAAAGAAGTTTCTCAGAATGCTTTTGTCTAGTTTTTATGTTAAGATGTTTCCTTTTCCATTCCATGAAGTAAAGTGATGCAAATATCCATTTGTAGATATTACAAAAAGACTGCTTCCAAACTCCTCGATCAAAAGAAAGGTTCAACTCTGTGAGTTGAATGCACACATCACAAAAAATTTTCTCAGAATGCTTCTGTCTAGTTTTATGTAAAGATATTTCCTTTTCTACTATAGGCCACAAAGCACTCCAAATATCAACTTGCAGATTCTGCAGAAAGAGTTATTCAAAGCTGCTCAATCAAAAGAAAAGTTCAACTCCTTGAGACGAATGCACACATCATGAAGTTCCTCAGAATGCTTCTATTTTTATGTGAAGATATATCCTTTTCTACCATAGACCACAAAACTCTCCAAATATCCCCTTGCAGTTTCTACTAAAAGAGTGTTTCCAAACTGCTCAATCAAAAGAAAGTTTCAACTCTGTGAGATGAATGCACACATCATTAAGAAGTTTCTCAGTAATTTTCTGTGTAGTTTTTATGTGAAGATATTTCCTTTCCTACTATAGGCCTGAAAGTGCTCCAAATATCCGTTTGCAGATACTGCAAAAAGACTGTTTCCACACTGCTCAATCAAAGGAAATGTCCAACTCTGTGAGTTGAATGCACGCATCTCAAAGAGATTACTTATAATGATTCTGTCTAGTTTTGATGTGAAGATATTTGCTTTTCCACCAGTGGCCTCATACTCTCCAAATATCCACTTGCAGATTCTACAATAAGAGTGTTTCAAAACTGCTCAATCAAAAGAAAGCTTCAACACTGTGAGATGAATGCACACGTCACAAAGCACTTTCTTAGAATGCTTCTGTCTAGCTTTTATGTGAAGATATTTCCTTTTTCACCATAGGCTGCAAAGCGCTCCAAATATCCCTTTCAGATTCTTCAGAAAGAGTGTTTCAAAACTGTTCAATCAAAAGAGAAACTCAACTACTGGTGATGAATGCACGCATCACAAAGCAGTTTCTCATCATGTT
>NC_000022.11:13014130-13021322 GCF_000001405.40 Homo sapiens | reverse complement strand
AGTGGATATTTGGAGTGCTTTGAGGCCTATTGTGGAAAAGGTAATATCTTCACATAAAAACTACAAATAAGCATTCTGAGAAACTTCTTTGTGATGTGTGAATTCAAGTCACAGAGTTTAACCTATCTTTTGATTGAGCAGTTTTGAATCTCTCTTTTTGTAGAATCTGCAAGTGGATATTTGGTGGGCTTTGAGGCCTATTTTGGAAAAGGAAACATCTTCACATAAAAACTACACAGAGGCATTCTGAGAAACTTCTTCATGATGTGTGCATTCATCTCACAGAGTTGAACCTATCTTATGATTGAGCAGATTTGAAACACTGGCTTTGTAGATGCTGCAAGTGGATATTTGGAGCGCTTGAGGCCTACTGTGGAAAAGGAAATATTTTCACATAAAAACCACACAGAAAAATTCTGACAAATTTCTTGGTGATGTGTGCATTCATCTCACAGAGTTGAAACTTTCCTTGTTATGAGCAGTTTTGCCACACTCTTTTGGAGAATTTAGAAGTGGATATTTGGAGCACTTTGAGGTCTATTGTGGAAAAAGAAATATCTTCACATAAACACTACAAAGAAGCATTCTGAGAAACTACTTTGTGATGTGTGTGTTAAACTCACAGAGGTGAACTTATCTTTTGATTGAGCAGATTTGAATATCTCTTTTTGTAGGAGCTGCAAGTGGGTATTTGGAGCCCTTTGAGGCCTATTGTGGAAAAGAAAATATCTTCACATAAAAACAACACAGATTCTTTCTGAGAAACTTCTTTGAAATGTATGCATTCATCTCACAGAGTTCAATTTTCTTTTGATTGAACAATTTTGAAACACTATTTTTGTAGAATCTGCAAGTAGATATTTGGAGTGCATTGAGGCCTAGGGAGGAAAAGGAAATATCTTCATATAAAAACTACACAGAAGCATTCTGAGAAATGTCTTTTGACGTGTGCATTCATCTCATAGAGCACTTTGAGGCCCATTGTGGAAAAGGAAATATCTTCACATAAAAACTACACAGAAGCATTCTGAGAAACTTGTTTGTGATGAGTGCATTCAGCTCACAGAGTTGAACCTATCTTTTGATTGAGCAATTTTGAAACTCTCTTTTTGTAGAATCTGCAAGTGGATATTTGGAGGCCTTTGCGGCCTATGGTGGAAAAGGAAATATCTTCACATAAAAACTACACAGAAGCATTCTGAGAAATGTCTTTTGACGTGTGCATTCATCTCATAGAGCACTTTGAGGCCCATTGTGGAAAAGGAAATATCTTCACATAAAAACTACACAGAAGCATTCTGAGAAAGTTCTGTGTGACTTGTGCATTCATCTCACAGAGTCGTAAATTTCTTTTGATTGAACAGTTGGAAACACTCTTTTAGTAAAATCTACAAGTGGATACTTGGAGCGTTTTGAGGCCTATTGTAGAAATGGAAATATCTTCACATAAAAACTAAACAGAAGCATTCTGAGAAACTTCTTTGAGATGTGTACATTGAACTCAGCGTTGTATCTATCTTTTGATAGAGGAGTTCTGAAACTCTCTTTATGTAGAATCTGCAAGGAATATTTGGAGCCCTTTGTGACCTATGGTGTAAAAGGAAATACCTTCACATAAAAACTACACAGAAGCATTCTGAGAAACTTCTTTGTGATATGTGCATTCTTCTCAAAGAGAAGAAACTTTAATTCGATTGAACAGTTTTGAAACACTCTTTTTGTAGAATCTGCAAGTGGATATTTGGAACACTTTGGAGAGAATGGTGGAAATGGAAATATCTTCATATAAAAACTATGGAGAAGCATTGTGAGAAACGTCTTTGTGATGTGTGCATTCAACTCACAGAGTTGAAGCTTTCTTTTGATTGAGCAGTTTTGAATCCCTCTTTTTGTAGAATCTGCAAGTGGATATTTGGAGCACTTTGGGGCCTCTGGTGAAATGAAATATCTTCACATAAAAACTATACAAAAGCACTCTGAAAAACTTCTTTGTGATGTGTGCATACAACTCACAGAGTTGAACCATTCTTTTGATTGTGCAGTTTTGAAACACTCTTTTTGTAGATTCTGCAAGTAGATACTCAGAGGGCTTTGTGGAGTATTGTGGAAAAGGAAATAACTTTGCATAAAAGCTAGACAGACGCATTCTGAGAAACTTCTTTGTGATGTGTGCTTTCAGCTCACAGAGTTGAACCTTTCTTTTGATTGAGCAGTTTAGAAACACTCTTTTTGTAGAATCTGCAAGTGGATATTTAGAGTGCTTTGATGACTATGGTGGAAAAGCAAATATCTTCACGTAACAACTAGACAGAAGCATTCTGAGAATCTTCTTTGTGATGTGTTCATTCACATCACAGAGTTTTAACTTTTTTTATTGAGGACTTTTGAAACACTCTTTTTGTAGAATCTGCAAGCGGGTGTTTGGAACATTTTGTGGCCTATAGTGGAAAAGGATGTATATTCACATAAAAACTAGACAGAAGCATTCTGAAAAACTACTTTTTGATGTGTGCATTCATCTCAAAGAGTTCAATCTTTCTTTTGATTGAGCAGTTTTGAAACACTCTTTTTGGAGTATCTGTAAGTGGATATTTGGAGCGCTTTGAGGCCTATGGTGGTAAAGGAAATATCTTCACATAAAAACTACACAGAAGCATTCTGAGATACTTCTTTATGATGTTTGCATTCATCTCACATAGTTGGACCATTCTTTTGATTGAGCAGCTTTGAAACACTCTCTTTGTAGAATGTGCAAGTGGATATTTGGAACACTTTGATGAGCATGGTGGAAAAGGAAATATCTTCACATAAAAACTAGACAGAAGTACTCTGAGAAACTTCTTTGTGATGTGCGCATTCATCTCAGATTTGAAAATTTCTTTTGATTGAGCAGTTTTGAATCGCTCTTTTTTTAGGATCTGCCAGGGGATATTTGGAGTGCTTTGAGGCCTATGGTGGAGAAGGAAATATCCTCACATAAAAATTAGAGAGAAGGATTCTGAGAAACTTCTTTGTGATGTGTGCATACATCTCACAGAGTTTAAACTTTCTATTGATTTAGCATTTTTTAAACACTTTTTGTAGGATCTGCAGTGGATATTTGGAGCCCTTTGGGGCCTATGGTGGAAAAGAATTATCTTCTCATAAAAACTAGACAGAAGCATTCTGAGAAACTTCTTTGTGATGTGTGCGTTCATCTCACAGATCTGAAACTTTCCTTTGAGCATTTTTGAAACACTCTTTTGGTAGAATCTGCAAGTGCAGATTTAGAGCGCTTTGAGGCTTGTGGTGGAAAAGGAAATATCTTCACATAAACACTAGACAGAAGCATTCTGAGAAACGTCTTTGTGATGTGTCCATTCATCTAACAGAGGTGAAACTTTCTTTTCATTGAACAGTTTTGAAACACTCTTTTTATAGAATCTGCAAGTGGATATTTGGAGCACTTTGGAGAGAATGGTGGAAATGGAAATATCTTCATATAAAAACTATGGAGAAGCATTCTGAGAAACGGCTTTGTTATGTGTGCCTTCAACTCACAGAGTTGAACCTTTCTTTTGATTGACCAGTTTTGAATCCCTCTTTTTGTATAATCTGCAAGTGGATATTTGGAGAGCTTTGGGGCCTATGGTGGAAAAGGAAATATCTCCACATAAAAACTACACAAAAGCATTCTGAGAAACTTCTTTCTGATGTATGCATACAACTCACAGAGTTGAAACTTTCTTTTGATTGTGCATTTTTGAAACACTTCTTTTGTAGAATCTGCAAGTGGATATTCAGAGGGCTTTGTGGAGTATAGTGGAAAAGGAAATAACTTTGGATAAAAGCTAGACAGCAGCATTCTGAGAAACTTCTTTGTGATGTGTGCATTCAACTCACAGAGTTGAACCTTTCTTTTGTTTGAGCAGTTTTGAAACACTATTTTTGTAAAATCTGCAAGTGGATACTTGGCGCGCTTTGCGGCCTATGGTGGAAAAGCAAATATCTTCACATAAAAACTAGAGAGAAGCATTCTGAGAATGTTCTTTGTGATGTGTGCATTCACCTCACAGAGTTGAAACTTTTTTGTTGAGGAGGTTTAAAACACTCTTTTTGTGGAATCCGCAAGTGGGTGTTTGGAGCACTTTGTGGCCTATAGTGGAAAAGGATGTATATTCACATAAAAACTAGACAGAAGCATTCTGAAAAACTACTTTGTGATGTGTGCATTCATCACAAAGAGTTGAACCTTTCTTTTGGTTAAGCAGTTTTGAAGCACTCTTTTTGTAGAATCTGTAAGTGGATATTTGGAGTGCTTTGAGGCTTATGGTGGTAAAGGAAATATCTTCACATAAAAACTACACAGAAGCATTCTGAGAAACTTCTGTGTGATGTGTGCATTCATCTCACAGGGTTGAACCTTACTTTTGTTTGAGCAGTATTCAAACACTGTTTTTGTAGAACCTGCAATTCGATATTTGGAGAGCTTTGAGGCCTATGTTGGTAAAGGAAATATCTTCAATTAAAATCTGGACAGAAGCATTCTGAGAAACTACTTTGTGATATGTGCATTCAACTCACAAAGTTGAACGTATCTTTGAGGAGTTTGGAAACATTCTTTTTGTAGCATCTGCAAATGTATATTTGGAGCGCTTTGAGGCCTATAGTTGAAAAGGAAATATCTTCACATAAAAACCACACAAAAGTATTCTTAGAAACTCCTTTATGATGTGTGCTTTTATCTCACATAATTCAACATTTCCTTTCATTGAGCAGTTTTGGAACACTTTTTTTGTGGAAACCGCAATTGGATATTTGGAATGCTTTGCCTCCTATAGTGGAAAAGGAAATATCTTCACATAAAAACTAGACAGAAGCATTCTGGGAATCTTCTCTGTGACGAGTGCATTCAACTCACTGGGTTGAACCTTTCTTTTGATTAAGTAGTTTCGAAACACTCTTTTTGTAGAATCTGCAGGTAGATATATGGAACACTTTGAGGCCTATGGTGGAAAAGGAAACATCTTCACATAAAAACTACACAGAAGCACTCTGAGAAACTTCTTTATGATGTGTGCAATGATCTCACAGAGTTGAAACTTTGTTTTGTTTGAGCAGTTTTGAAACACCGCTTTTGTAGAATCTGTAAGTGGATATTTGGAGTGCTTTGTTCCCTATTGTAGAGGAAATATCTTCACATAAAACTAGACAGAAGCATTCTGAGAAACTTCTTTGTGATGTGTGCATTCATCTCACACAGTTGAACCTTTCTTTTGATTCATCACTTTTGAAACACTCTTTTTGAAGAATATGCAAGTGGATATTTGAAGCGCATTGTGGCCTATAGTGGAAAATTTTATATCTTCACATAAAAACTAGACAGAAGCATTCTGAGAAACTTCTTTGGGATATATGCATTCATCTCACAGACTTGAAACTATTTTGATTTAGCATTTTAGAAACACCCTTTTGTAAAATCTGCAAGTGGATATTTTGAGCGCTTTGCATCCTCTAGTGGAAAAGGAAATATCTTCACACAGAAAAAAGACAGAAGCATTCTGAGAAACCTGTGTGTGATGTGAGCATTCCTCCCACAGAGTTGAACCTTTCTTTTGATTGAGCAGTTTTGAAACACACTTTTTGTTGAATCTGCAATTGGATATTTGGAGAGCCTTGGGGCCTATGGTGGAAAAGTAAATATCTTCACATAATAACTGCACAGAGGTATTCTAAGAAACTTCCTTCTGATGTGCACATTCAGTTCACTGAATTGTACCTTTCCTTTGATTGAGCAGTTTTGAAACACTCTTTTGCAGAATCTGCAATTGGATATTTGAAGCTCTTTCCAGTCTCAAGTGGAAAAGGAAATATCTTCACATAAAAAATAGACAGAAGCATTCTGCGAAATTTTTGTGATGTGTGCATTCTTCTAACAGAGTTGAACTTTTATTTTGATTGAGCAATTTTGAAACACTCTTTTTGTAGATTCTGCAAGTGGACATTTGGAGCTCTTTCAGTCCTATGGTGGTAAAGGAAATAACTTCACACAAAAACTAGACAGAAGCATTCTGAGAAACTCCTTTGTGATGTGTGCATTCATCTCACAGGTTTGAACCTTTCTTTTGGTTGAGCAGTTTTGAAACACACTTTTTGTAGAATCTGAAGGTGGATATTTGGAACACTTTGGGGCCTATGGTATAAAAGGAAATATCTTCACATAAAAACTAGACAGAGCATTCTGAGAAACAACTTTGTGATGCGTGCTTTCATCTCACAAAGTTGAACGTTTCTTTTGATTGAGTAGTATTGAAACGCACATTTGTAGACTCTACCAGTGGATATTTGGAGTGCTTTGGGGCCTACGGTGGAAAAGGATATATCTTCACATAAAAACTAGACAGAAGCATTCTGAGAAACTTCTTTGTGATGTGTGCATTCAACTAACACTGTTGAACCCTTCTTTTGATTGAGCAATTTTGAATCACTTTTTTTGTAGAATCTGCAAGTGAATATTTGGAGTGCTTTGCAGACTACAGTTTAAAAGGGAATATATTCACCTAAAAACTAGACAGAAGCATTCTGATAAACTTTGTTGTAATGTGTGCATTCAACTAACAGAGTTGAACCTTTCTTTTGATTGAGCAGTCTGGAAACACTCTTTTTGAAGAATCTGTAAGTGGATATTTGGAGCACTTTGCAGCCTATTGTGGAAAAGGATAAATCTTCAAATAAAAACTAGACAGAAGCATTCTGAGAAACGTCTTTGTGAGATGTGCATTCATCTCACAGACTTGAACCTTTCTTTCGATTGAGCAGTTTTGAAACACTCTTTTTGTAGAATCTGCAAGGGATATTTGAAGAGCTTTGAGGCCTAATGTGGAAAAGGAATTATCTTCACATAAAAACTAGACAGAAGCATTCTGAGAATCTTCTTTGTGAAGTGTGCATTCATCTCACAGAGCTGAAACTTTCTTTTGATTCAGCAGTTTTGAAATACTCTATTTATGGAATCTGCTTGTGGATTTTTGGAGCGCTTTGAGGCATGTGGTGGAAAAGGAAATATCTTCACATGAAAACTAGACAGAAGCATTCTGAGAAAATTCTTTGTTATGTGTGCATTCAACTCACGGAGTTGAACCTTTCTTTTGATTGAGCAGTTTGGAAACACTCTTTTTGTAGTATCTGCAAGTGGATATATGGAGCGCTTGTG
>NC_000022.11:12994027-13011653 GCF_000001405.40 Homo sapiens | reverse complement strand
AACAGTCGTTTTTTATAATCTGCAGAAGGATACTTGTGAGCCATTGAGGTCTATGGGGTGATAAGAATATGTTCACATAAAAACTAGATAGAAAGTTTCCGAGAAACTTCTTTGTGATATTTGCTTTCATCTCATAGAGTTGAAACTTTCTTTTTATTGAGCTGTTTGGGAACAGTCTTTTTGTAGTACCTGCAAATGGATATTACCAGTGCTTTGAGGCCTATGGTGAAAAAGGAAATATCTTCACATAAAAACAAGGCAGAAGCATTCTGAGAAACTTCTTTGTGATGTCTGCATTCATCTCACAGAGTTGAACCTTTCTTTTGATTGAGCAGTTTTGAAACGCTCTATTTGTAGTATCTGCAAGTGGATATTTGGAACGATTTGAGGCCTATAGTCGAAAAGGAAATATCTTCACATAAAAAACTAGAAAGAAGAATTCTGAGAAACTTCCCAGGAAGGTGTATTTTCGTCTCACACTGTTAAACCTTTCTTTTGATTGAGCAGATTCGATACAGTCGTTTAGTAGAATATGAAAGGGAATATTTGAGAGCCCATTGAGGCCTCTGGGGAAGTAAGAAATAACTTCACCTAAAAATTAGACAAAAACTTTCTGAGAAACTTCCTTGTGATGTGTGTATTCATCATACACAGTTGAACTTTCTTTTGATTGAGCGGTTTGGATACAGTCATTTGTATTATCTATAAATGGATATTTGGAGCGTATTGAGGCCTATGGTGAAAAAGGAAATATCCTCACATAAAATTCAGATGGAAGCATTCTTAGAAACTTCTTTGTGATGTGTGCATTCATCTCACAGACTTCAAACTTTCTTTTGATTGAGCAGTTTTGAAACCCTCTTTTTGCAGTATCTGCAAGTGTATATTTGAAGCGCTTTGAGGCCTCTGGTGGAAAAGGAAACATCTTCACATAAAAACTAGACAGAAGCATGCTGAGAAACTTCTTTGTGATGCGTGCATTCAACTAAAAAAGTTGAACATTTCTTTTGATTGAGTAGTTTGGAAACAGTCTTTTTGTAGAATCTGCAAGTGGATATTTGGAGTGCTTTACGGCCTATAGTGGAAAACGAAATACCTTCACATAAAAACTAGACAGAAACATTCTGAGAAACTTATTTGTGATATGCACATTCATCACAAAGAGTTGAACATTTCTTTCAATTGAGCAGCTTGGAAACAGTCCTCTTGTAGAATCTGTGAAGGGATACTTCTCAGCCCATTGATGCCTATGGATGAAATAGGAAATATTCTCACATAAAAACTAGACAGAAATTTCTGAGAAACTTCTTTGTGATATGTGGTTTCATCTCACAGAGTTGAACCGTTCTTTTGGTTGAGAAGATTGGAAACACTCTTTTTGTAGAATCTGCAAGTGGATATTTGGAGCACATTGAGGCCTATGGTGGAAAACGAAATATTTTCACATAAAAATTAGACAGAAGCATTCTGAGAAACTTCTTTGTGATGTGTGCATTCAACTCACAGAGTTCAACCTTTCTTTTGATTCAGCAGTTTTGAAACACTCTTTTTGTAAAATCTGCCAGTGGATCTTTGGAGCGCTTTGAGGCCTATGGTGGTAAAGGAAATATCTTCACATAAATAGTACACAGAAGCATTCTGAGAAACTTCTTTGTGATGTGTGCATTCAACTCAAAGAGTAGAATCCTTCTTTTGATTGAGCAGCTTTGAAAGACTCCTTTTGTAGAATCTGCAAGTGGATCTTTGGAGCGCTATGTGGCCTTAAGTGGAAAAGGCAATATCTTCACATAAAAACTAGACAACAGCATTCTGAGAAACTTCTTTGTGATGTATGCCTTCATCTCACAGAGTTGAAGCTTCCTTTTGATTGAGCAGTTTGGAAATAGTCTTTCTGTAGAATCTCCAATTGGATACTTGGAGCGCTTTGAGGCCTATGGTGGAAAAGGAAATAACTTCACATGAAAACTACACAGAAGCATTCTGAGAAATTGGTTTGTGATGAGTGCATTCAACTCACAGAGTTGAACCTTTCTTTTGATTGAGCAGTTTTGAAACACACTTTTTTTAGGATCTGCAAGTGGATATTTGTAGCGCTTTGTGGCCTATTGTGGAAAAGGATATATCTTCACATAAAAACAATGGAGAAGCATTCTGAGAAACTTTTTGTGATGAGTGCATTCAACTCACAGAGTTCAACCTTTCTTTTGATTGAGCCGTTTTGAAACGCTCTTTTTGTAGAGTGTGAAAGTGGATATTTGGAGCACTTTGTGGCCTATAGGGGAAAAGGAAATATATTCACATAAAAATTAGACAGAACATTCTCAGAAACATCTTTGTGATATGTGCATTCATTTCACAGAGTTGAAATTTTCTTTTTATTGACCAGTTTTGAAACACTCTTTCTGTACAGTGTGCCAGTGGATATTTGTAGCACTTTGAGGCCTATGGTGGAAAACGAAATATGTATTCACAGAAGCATTCTGTGATACTTCTTTGTGATGTGTGCATTCATCTCACAGAGTTGAACCATTCTTTTGATTGAGCAGTTTTGAAATACTGTTTTGTAGAATCTGCAGGTGGATATTTGGAGTGCTTTGTGGCCTATAGTGGTGAAGCAAATATATTCACATAAAAACTAGACAGAAGCATTCTGAGAACGTTCTTTGTTATGTGTGCATTCAACTCACAGACTTGAACCTTTCTTTTGATTGAGCAGTTTTGAATGTCTCTTTTTGTAGAATCTGCAAATGGATATTTGGAGCACTTTTAGGCCTATGGTGGAAAAGGAAATATCTTCACATAAAAACTACAGAGAAGCATTTTGAGAAACTTCTTTGTGATGTGTGCATTCAACTCACAGTGTTCAACCTTTCTTTTGATTGAGCAGTTTTGAAACACTCTTTTTGTAAAATCTGCCAATGGATATTTGGAGCACTTTGAGGCCTATAGTGGAAAAGGAAATATCTTCACATAAATCGTAGACAGAAGCATTCTGAGAAACTTCTTTGGATGTGTGCATTCAACTCACGGAATGGAAACCTTCTTTTGATAGAGCAGTTTTGAAAGACTCCTTTTGTAGAACCTGCAATTTGGAGCGCTATGTGGCCTTAAGCCAGACAGAAGCATTCTGAGAAACTTCTTTGTGATGTGTGCATTCATCTCACAGAGTTGAACCATTCTTTTCATTGAGCAGTTTTGAAACACTCTTTTTGTAGAACCTACAAGTGGATATGTGGAGCACTTTATGGCCATGATAGAAAAGGAAATATCTTCACATAAAAACTAGACAGAATAATTCTAAGATATTTCTTTGTGATGTGCACATTCACCTCATGGAGTTGAACATTTCTTTTGATTGAGCAGTTTTGAAACACTCTTTTTGTAGAATCAGCAGTTGGATATTTAGAGCCCTTTGAGGCCTATGGTGGAAAAGGAAATATCTTCACATAAAAACTAGACAGAAGCATTCTGAGAAACTTTTTTTGTGATGTGTGCATTCAACTCATCGAGTTGAACATGTCTTTTTATTGAGCAGGTTGGAAACATTCTTTTTGTAACATCTGCAAATTTGTATTTGGACAGCTTTGAGGCCTATAGTGGAAAAGGAAATATCTGCACATAAAAACTAGACAGAAGCATTCAGAGAAACTTCTTTGTGATGTGTGCATTCATCTCACAGAGTTGAACCATTCTTTTCATTGAGCAGTTTTGAAACACTCTTTTTGTAGAATCTGCAAGTGGATATTTGGATCACTTTGAGGCATATGGTGGAAAAGAATGTATCTTCACATAAAAACTAGCCAGAAGCATTCTGAGAAACTTCTTTGTGATGTGTGTATTCAACTCACAAAGTTGAACCTTTATTTTGATTGAGCAGTGTTGAAACACACTTTTTGTAGAATCTGCAAGTGGATATTTGGAGCGCTTTGTGGCCTATTGTGGAAAAGGAAATATCATCACATAAAAACAAGATAGAAGCATTCTGAGAAACTTCTTTGTGATGTGTGCTTTCAGCTCACAGAGTTGAACCTTTCTTTTGATTGAGCAGTTTAGAAACACTCTTTTTGTAGAATCTGCAAGTGGATATTTAGAGTGCTTTGATGCCTATGGTGGAAAAGGAAATATCTTCACATAAAAACTAGACAGAAGCATTCTGAGAAACTTCTTTGTGTTGTGTGCATTCATCTCACAGAGTTGAACTTACTTTTTGTTGAGCAGTTTTGAAACACTCTTTTTGTAGAATCTGCCATTGGATATTTGGAGCGCTGTGAATCCTGTAGTGGAAAAGGACATATCTTCACATAAGAAGTATAAAGCAGGTTTTGTTAAAACAACCTTGTGGTGTGTGCATTCATCTCACAGAGGTAAGTGTTTCTTTTCTCCAATCAGTCTGGAAACTCTGTTCTTGTACAATCTCAAAAGGGGTATTTTTGAACACTGTGAGGCCTATTGTGACAAAGGAAATAACTTCACATTCAAAGTATAAATAAAGTTTCTGAGATACTTCTTGGTGATATGTGCATTCGTCTCACAGATTTGAACCTCTCTTTTAATTCAGCTGTTTGGAAACAGTCTTTTTGAAGAATCTGCAAACGGATATTTGTGAGCACTCTGAGGCCTATGCAGGAAAAGAGGTATCTTCACAGAAAACTATAAAGAAGGTTTCTGAGAAACTGTTTTGTGATGTCTGCATTCATCTCTCAGAGGTAAACGATTCTTTTCTTTGATCAGTTAGGAAACTCTGTTCTTGTATAATGTGCTAAGGGACATTTTTGAGTGCCTGGAGCCCTATGGTGAAAAAGAAATTATCTTCACATAAAAACTAGACAGAAGCCTACTGAGAAACTTCTTGGTGATGTGTGCATTCATCTCACAGAATTGAAACTGTCTTTTGATTGAGCAGTTTGGAAACATCTTTTTGTGGAATTTGTAAAGGGATATTTCTGAGCACTTTGAGGCCTATGGTGAAAGGGAAAGTATCTTCACATAAAAACTACACTAAAGATTTCTGAGAAACTGCTTTGTGATGTATGCATTCACCTCACAGAGTTCAACAATTCTTTTGATTGAGCAGTTGGGAAACCGTCTTTTTGTAGAATCTGCAAAGGGATATTTGTGAGGGCTTTGAGTCCTATGGTTAAAAGAAAATATCTTCACATAAAAACTATAAGGAAGGTTTGTGAGAAACTTCTTTATGATGTGTGCATTCATCTCACAGAGTTGAACCATTCCTTTGACTCAGCTGTTTAGAAACAGTCTTTTTTTAGGATCTGCAAAGGGATATTTTTGAGCACTTTGAGGCCCATAGTGAAAAAGGAAACACTTTCACATAAAAACGAGATAGAAGTTTTTTGAGAATCATCTTTTTGATATGTGCATTCATCCCATAGAGGTGAACCTGTCTTTTGATGAGCATTTTGGAAACAGTATTTTGTAGAATTTCCAAAGGGTTTTTAGTTAGCGTTTTGTGTCCTATGTTGGAAAAGCAATTATTTTTACATAAAAACTAGACGGAATATTTCTGAGAAACTGCTTTGTGATCTGTGTTTTCATCTCACAGAGGTAACCATTTCTTTTTATTGAACAGATTGGAAATTATGTTCTTGTAAAATCTGCAAAGGAATATTTGTAGTACTTTGAGGTCTATGGTGAAAAAGGAACTATCTTCACATAAAAACTAGATGGAAGCTTTCTGTGAAACTTCTTGGAGATGCGAGAATTCATCTCTCAGAGTTGAAATATTCTTTTGATTGGGCAGTTTGTATACAGTATTTTGGTAGAATCTGAAAAGGGATATTTGTGATGCTTTGGAAGCCTATGGTGAAAAACGAAATATTTTCACATGAAAACTAGAGAGAAGCCTTCTGAGAAACCTCCTTGTGATGTGTGCATTCATCTCACAGATTTGAAACTTTCTTTGGATTGAGCAATTTGGAAGCAGTATTTTTGTAGAATCTGTAAAGGCATATTTTTGAGAGCTATGAGGCCCATGATGAAATAGGAAATATCTTCACATAAAAACTAGACAGAAACTTTCCAAGAAACTTCTTTGTGATGTGTGCATTCATCTCGTGGAGTTCAACCATTCTTTTGATTGAACAGTTTGGAAACACTCTTTGTGTAGAATCTGCAAAGGGATATTTATGAGTGCTTTGAGGCCTATGGGGAAAAAGGAAATGTATTCACTTAAAAAGTATAAACAAGGTTTCTCAGAAACAGTTTTGTGATGTAGGCATTCATCTCACAGAGGTAAACGTTTCTTTTCTCTGATCTGTCTGGAAACTGTTCTTGTAGAGTCTGCAAAGGGATATTTGTGAGTGCTTTGAAGCCTATGGTGAAAAAGGAAATATCTTCACATAAAAATTAGAGAGAGGCTTTCTGAGAAACCTCTTTGTGATGTGGACGTTCATCTCACAAAGTTGAAACTTACTTTTGATTGAGCAGTATGGAAACCGTCTGTTTGTGGAAGCTGCAAAGGGATATTTATGAGAGCTTTGAGGCCAATGGTGAAAGAGGAAATATATTCATATAAAAGGTATAAAGAAGGTTTCTTAGAAACAGCTTTGTGGTGTGTGCATTGATCTCAGAGAGGTAAACTTTTATTTTCTATGATCAGTCTGGAAACTCTGTTCTTGTAGAATCTGCAAAGGGATATTTGTGAGTGCTTTAAGGCCTATGGTGAAAAAGGAAACATCTTCACTTAAAAACTAGACAGAAGCTTTCTTAGTGGCTTCCTTGTGATGTGTGCAATCATCTCACAGAGTTGAACCATTCTTTTGATTGAATAGTCTGGAAACAGTCTTTTTGTAGAATCTGCAAGGGATATTTGTCATGACTTGGAGTGCTATGGTGAAAAAGGAAATATCTTCACATAAAAAATGGACAGAAGATTTCTGAGAAACCTTCTTTTGATGTGTGCATCCATCTCACAGAGTTCAAACATTTTTTTGATTGAGCAGTTGGGAAGCAGTCTTTTTCCAGAATCTACAAAGGGATATTACTGAGCACTTTGAGGCCTGTGGTGGAAAAGGAAATATCTTCACATAAAAACTATAAACAAGGTTCCTGAGAAACTTCTTTGTGATGTATGCATTCATCACAGGGAGTTGAACTATTCTTTGATTGAGCACTTCGGAAACAATCTTTTTGTAGAAGCTGCAAAGGGATATTTTTGAGTGCTTTGAGTCCTAAGGAGAAATTAGAAATATCATCACATAAAAAGTATAAAGAAGGTTTCTGAGAAACTGTTTTGTGATGTGTGCATTCATCTCACAGAGAAAAACGTTTGTTTTCTTTGATCAGTCTGGAAATTCTGTTCTTGCAGAATCTGCTAAGGGATATTTTTGAGCAGATGGAGGCCTATGGTGAAAAAGGAAATGTCTTCATATAAAAACTAGACAGAAGCCTCCTGCAAAACTTCTTAGTGATGTGTGCATTCATCTCACAGAGTTGAAACTTTCTTTCCATTGAGCCACTTGGAAACAGTCTTTTTGTGGACTCTGCAAATGGATATTTGGAGCACTTTGAGGCCTATGGTGAAAAATGAAATATCTTCACATAAAAACCAGACTGAAAGTTTCTGAGAAACTTCTTTGAGATGTGTGCATTCATCTCACAAAGTTCAATAATTCTTTTTATTGAGCGGTTTGGAAACAGTCTTTTTGTAGAATCTGCAAAGAGATATTTGTGAGGGCTTTGAGGCCTATGGTGAAAAAGGAAATATCTTCACAGAAAAACTATAAAGAAGGTTTCTGAGAAACTTATTTGTGATGTGTGCATTCATCTCACGTAGTTCAAACTTTCTTTTGATTGAGCAGTTTGGAAACAGTCTTTTTAAACATTCTTCAAGTGGATACTTTTGAGCACCTTGAGGCTCATGGGGAAAAAGGAAACATTCACATAAAAACTTAATAGAAGCTTTCTGAGAAACTACTTTTTGACGTGTGCATTCATCTCACAGAGTTGAACGTTTCTTTTGATGAGCAGTGTGGAAACAATCTTTTTGTAGAATCTGCAAAGGGACAATTTTGAGTGCTTTGCATCCTGTGGTGGAAAAGGAGATACCTTCACATAAAAACTAGACAGAATGTTTCTCAAAAACTGCTTTGTGATATGTGCATTCATCTCCCAGATGTGTCTGTTTCTTTTCATTGAGAAGATTGGAAAATCTTGTAAGATCTGCAAAGGGATATTTGTGAGCCCTTTGAGGTGTGTGGTGAAAAAGGACATATCTTCACATAAAAACTACACAGAAGCTTTCTGAGAAACATCCTGGTGATGTGAGTATTCGCCTTACAGAGTTGAAACATTCTTTTGATTGAGCAATGTGTAGAGTCTTTTTGTAGTATCTGCAAAGGGATATTTGTAAATGCTTTGAGGCCTATGGTGAAAAAGGAAATATCTTCACATAAAAACTAGAGAGAAGCTTTCTGAGAAACCTCTTTGTGGTGTGAATACATCTCACAGACTTGAACCTTTCTTTTGATTGAGCAATTTGGAAGAAGTATTTTTGTAGAAGCTGCAAAGGGATATTTCTGAGCACTTTGAGGCTTATGGTGAAAAACTAGACAGAAGCATTCTGAGAAACTGCTTCGTGATGTGTGCATTCACCACACAGAGTTGAACCTTTGTTTTTATTGAGCAGTTTGGAAACAGTCTTTTTGTAGACTCTGCAAAGGATATTTGGAGCACTTTGAGGCCTATCATGAAAAAGGAAATATATTCACATAAAAACTAGACTGGAGGATTCTGAGAAACTTCTTTGAGCTGTGTGCATTCATCTGACAGTGTTCAATAATTCTTTTTATTGAGCGGTTTGGAAACAGTCTTTTTGTAGAATCTGCAAAGGGATATTTGTGAGGTCTTTGAGGCCTATGTTGAAAAAGGAAATATCTTCACAGAAAAACCATAAAGAAAGTTTCTGAGAAATTTCTTTGGATGTGTGCATTCATCACAAAGAGGTGAAACATTCTTTGGATTGAGCAGTTTGCAAACAGTCTTTTTTTGTAGAATCTGCAGAGGGATATTTGTAGCACTTTGAGGCCTATGGTGAATAAGGAAATATCTTCACATAAAAACTAGACAAAAGTTTTCTGAGAAAATTTTGTTATGTGTTCATTTATCTCATAGAGTTTAACGTTTGTTTTGATTGAGCAGTTTGGAAACAGTCTTTTTGTAGAATCTGCAAAGGGATATTTAGGAGCAAGTTGAGGCCTATGGTGAAAAAGGAAATATCTTCACATAAAAACTAGAAAGAAGCATTCTGAGAAGCTGCTTTAAGATATGTATATTCATCTCACAGAGGTAAACATTTCTTTTCATTGAGCAGTTTGTAAACTCTGTTATTCTAGAGTCTGCAAAGGGATTTTTTTGAGTGCTTTGAGACCCACGTTGAAAAAGGAAATATCTTCACATAAAAACTTGTGAGAAGCTTGCTGAGAAACTACTTCTGATGTGTGCATTCATCTAACAGAGTTGAAACTTTCTTTTGATTGAGCAGTTTGAAAACAGTCTTTTTGTAGATTCTGCAAAGGTATATTTGGGAGTGCGTTGAGGCCTATGTTCAAAAAGGAAATATCTTCACATAAAAATGAGACGGGAGTTTTCTGAGAAACTTCTTTGTGATGTGCACATTTGTCTCACAGGGTTGAACCATTCTGTTTATTGAGCAGTTTGGAAACCATATTTTTGTAGAATCTGCAAAGGGATATCTGCGAGCACATTGAGGCATATGGTGAAAAAGGAAATATCTTCACATTAAAAGTAGAAAGAAGTTTTCTGAGTAACTCCTTTGTGACGTTTGCATTTATCACACAGAAGTAAAAATTTCTTCCCATTGAGCAGTTAGTTTTTATGTGAAGATATTTCCGTTTTCACTATAGACCTCAAACCACCTACATATATCCCTTTGCAGATTCTACAAAAAGACTGTTTCCAAACTGCTCAATCAAAGAAAACTTCCACTCTGCGAGATGAATGCACACATCACAGATAAGTTTCTCAGAAAGTTTCTGTCTAGTTTTTATTTGCTGATACTCCCTTTTTCACCATAGGCCTCAAACCGCTCATAAATAACCCTTTGCAGATTCTACAAAAAGACTGTTTCCAAACTACTCAATCACAAGAAAGCTTCAACTGTGTGACATGAATTCACACATCACAAAGAAGTTTTTCAGAAATCTTCTGTCTAATTTTTATGTTAAGATACTTCCTTTTTCACCACAGGCCTCAAATATCTCCAAATATCCATTTGCAGATTCTACAAAAAGACTTTCCAAACTGCTCAATCAAAAGAAAGGTTCAACACTGTGAGATGAAGGTACACATCACAAAGAAGTTTCTCAGAAATCTTCTGTCTAGTTTTTATGTGAAGATATTTTGTATTTCACCACAGGCCATAAGGGGATCACAAATATCCCTTTGCAGATTCTACAAAACGACTGTTTCCAAACTGCTCAAACAAAAGTAAGGTTCAACTCTGTGACATGAATGGACACATCACAAAGAAGTTTCTCAGAATGCTTCTGTCTAGTTTTTATGTGCAGATATTTCGTTTTCACCATAGGTCTCAAATGGCTCAGAAATATCCCTTTGCAGATTGTACAAAAAGACTGTTTCCAAGATGCTCAGTCAAAAGAATGATTCAACTCTGTGAAATGAAAGCACACATCACAAAGAAGTTTCTCAAAATTCTTCTCTCTACTTTTTATGTGAATATATTTCCTTTTTAAACCTAGGCCTCAAAGCTCTCCAAATATCCATTTGTAGATTCTTCCAAAGACTGTTTCCAAAGTGATCAATCAACAGAAGGGTTCAACTCTGCAGGATGAAAGCACACATCACAAAGAAGTTTCTCAGAAAGCTTCTGTCTAGTATTTATGTGAAGATATTTCCTATTTCACTGTAGGCCTCAATGGGATCACAAATATCCCTTTGCAGATTCTACAAAAAGACTGTTTATGAACTGCTCAATGAAAAGAAAGGTCCAACTCTGTGAGGTGAATGCACAGATAAAAAGGAAGTTTCTCAGAATGCTTGTGTCTAGTTTTTATGTGAAGTTATTTCTTTTTCACCATAGGCCTCAAACCACTCAGAAATATTACTTTGTAGTTTGCACAAAAAGAATGTTTCCAAACTCCTCAATGAACAGAAAGGTTCAACTCTTTGAGATGAATGCAAACATCACAAAGAGTTACCTCAAAAAGCTTCTGTCTGGTTTTTATGTGAAGATATTTAGTTTTTCACCATAGGCCTCAAACAGCTCACAAATATACCTTTGCAGATTCTACAAAATGACTTGTTCCCAAACTACTCAATGAAAAGAAAAGATTGAATCTGTGAGATGAAAGCACGCATCATGAAGAAGTTTCTCAGAAAGTTTCTATCTAGTTCTTGTGTGCAGATTCTTCCTTTTTCACCTTATGCCTCAAAGCGCTCCAAATATCTGTTTACAGGTTCTACAAAAAGAGTGTTTCCAAACTGCTCAATCAAAGGAAAGGTTCAATTCTGTGAAATGAAAGGACACACCACAAGGAAGTTTCTCAGAATGCTTCTGTCTAGTTATTATGTGAAGATAATCCCTATTTCACTATAGGACTCAAAGAACTCAGAAATATCCCTTTGCAGATTCTATGAAATGACTGTATCCAAACTGCTCCATCAAAAAAAAGGTTCAACTCTGTGAGATGAAAGCACGCATCACAAAGAAGTTTCTCAGAAAGCTTCTGTCTAGTTTTTATGTAAAGATATTTCCTATTTCACCATAGGCCTCAAAGGGCTCAGAAATATCCCTTTGCAGATTCTCCAAAAAGACTGCTTGCAAACTGCTCAATGAAAAGAAAGGCTAAATTTTGTCACACATCACTAAGAAGTTTCTCAGAATGCTTTTGTCTTGTTTTATGTGAAGAAGTTTCATTTTTCACCATAGGCCTCAAAGTGCTCCAAATATCCATTTGCAGATTCTACAAAAAGACTTTTTCCAAATTGCTCAATCAAAAGAACGGTTCAACTGTGTGTGATGAATGCACACATCACAAAGAATTTTCTCAGAAAACTTCTGTTTAGTTTTTATGTGAAGATATTTCCTTTTTCACCATGGGCCTCAAAGCACTCCAAATATCCACTTGCAGAATCTACAAAAAGAGTGTTTTCAAACTGCTTAATCACAAGAAAGTTTCAACTCTATGAGATGAAAGCACACTTCACAAAGGAGTTTCTTAGAAACCTTCTATCTAATTTTTATGTGAAGATATTTCATATTTCAAAATAGGTCTCAATGGGCTCAGAAGTATACTCTTGCAGATGCTACAAAAAGAGTGTTTCCAAAAAGCTCAATCAAAAGAAAGGTTTAACACTGTAAGATGAATGCGCACATTACAAAGAAGTCTCTCAGAATGCTTCTGTATACTTTTTTTGAGAAGCCATTTCCTTTTTCACCATAGGCCTCAGTCCACTCAATAATAGCGCACTTCAGACACTACAAAAGACTCTTTCCAAGCTGCTCAATCAAAATAAAGGTTCACATCTGTGAGATGAAAGCCCACGTCACAAAGAAGTTTCTCAGAAATTTTCTGTCTAGTTTTTATGTGAGGATATTTCCTATTTCACCTTAGGCCTCAAAGAGATAAAAAATATCCCTTTTCAGACTCTACAAAAAACTGTTTCCAAACTGCCTCATCAAAAGAAAGGTTCAACTCTGTGAGATCAATGCACACATAAAAAATTAGTTTCTCAAAATGCTTCTGTCTAGTTTTTATGTGAAGATATTACTTTTTCACCATAGGTCTCAAACCGCAAACAAATATTCCTTTGCAGGTTGCACAAAAAGTATGATTCAACACTGCTTAATGAATAGAAAGGTTCAACTCAGTGAGATGAATGCAAACATCACAAAGAGTTTTCTCAAAATGCTTCTGTCTAGGTTTTAGGTGAAGATATTTACTTTTTCACTATTGGCCTCAAACCACTCACAAATATCCCTTTGCAGATTCTACAAAATGACTTGTTGCCAAACTGCTCAATGAAAACAAGGTCCAACTCTGTGAGATGAAAGCACACATCACAAAGAAGTTTCTCAGAAAGTTTCCCAGAAAGTTTCCGACTAGTTTTTATATGCAAATATTTTCTTTTTAACCATAGGCCTCAAAGCACTACAAATATTCTTTTGCAAGTTCTACAAAAAGAGTGTTTCCAAACTGCTCAATCAAAAGAGAGGTTCAACTCTGTGAGTTGAAAGCACACAACACAAGGAAGTTTTACAGAAAGCTTCTGTCTAGTTTTTATGTGAAGACATTCCTATTTCACCATAGGCTCCAATGTGCTCACAAACATCCTTTTGCAGATTCTACAAAAGGACTCTTTCCAAACTGCTCAATCCAAAGAAAGTTTCAACTCTGTGACATGAATGCACACATCACAAGGAAGTTTTTCAGAATGCTTCTGTCTAGTTTTTATGTGAAGAAATTTCCTGTTCACCATAGGCCTGTAATGCTGCAAATATCCATCTTCAGATTCTACAAAAAGAATGTTTCCAAACTGCTCAATCAAAAGAAAAGTTCAACTCTGTGAGATGAAAGCACACATCACAAAGAATTTTCTCAGGAAGCTTTTGTCTAGTTTTTTGTTTTGTGAAGATATTCCCTATTTCACCATAGGCCTGAAAGGGCTCACAAATATCCTTTTGCATATTATACAAAAAGACTGTCTCCAAACTGCTCAATCAAAAGAAAGTTTCAACTCTGTGTGATGAATGCACACATTACAAAGAAGTTTCTTAGAATGCTTTTGTCTAGTTTTTATATGAAGATATTTATCTCACAATAGGCCTCAAATGGCTCAGAAATATCCCTTTGCAGATTGTACAAAAAGACTGTTTCCAATCTGCTCAATCAAAAGTAAGTTTCAACACTGTGAGATGAATGCACACATCACAAAGAAGTTTCTCAGAATGCTTCTGTTAAGATTTCATGTGAAGATATTTCCTTTTTCACCATAGGCCTCAATGGGCTCAGAAGTATCCCTTTGTAGATTCTACAAAAGGTCTGTTTAGAAAACTGCTCAGTCCAAAGAAAGGTTCAACTCTATGAGATGAATGCACACATCTCAAAGAAGTTTCTCACAATGGATCTGTCGAGGTTTCTGTGAAGATATATCCGTTTTAACCATAGGCCTTAAACTGCTCATGAATATCCCTCTGCAGATACTACAAAAAGACTGTTTCCAAACTGCTGCATCCAAAGAAATTTTCAATTCTGTGAGATGAATACACACATCACAAAGAAGTTTCTCAGAATGCTTCTGTCTGGTTTTTATGTGAAGATATTTCCTATTTCACCATAGGCTGTAAAGGGCTCCCAAATATCCATTTGCATATTCAAAAAAAAGACTGTTTCCAAACTGTTCAAACTAAAGAAAGGTTCAACTCTGTGAGATGAATGCACACACCAGAAAGAGGTTTCTCAGAATGCTTCTGTCTGGTTCTTAGGTTTTTGTGTGAAGATATTTCCTTTTTCAGCATAGGACTCAGTGGGCTCAGAATTATCTCTTTGCAGATTCTACAAAAGGACTGTTTAGAAAACTGCTGAATCCAAAGAAAGATTCAATTCTGTGAGATGAATGCACACTTCACAAAGAAGTTTTGCAGAATACATCTGTCTAGTTTTTCTGTGAAAATATTTCTTTTTTCACTATAGGCCTCAAAGCACTCAAAATACCCATTTGTACATTCTACAAAAAGAGTGTTTCCAAACTGCTCAATCAAAAGTAAGGTTCAACCCTATGACACGGAAGCAAACATCACAAAGAAGTTTCTCAGAAAGCTTCTGTCTAGTTTTTGTGTGAAGGTATTTCCTATTTCACCATGGGACATATAGTGCTCACAAATATTTTTGTAAATTCTACAAAAGGGCTGTTTCCAAACTGCTCAATCCAAAGAAAGTTTCAACTCTGTGAGATGAGCGGACACACCACAAAGAAGTTTATCAGAATGCTTCTATCTAGTTTTTATGTGAAGACATTTCTTTTTCACCCTAGGCTTCAATGGGCTCAGAAATACCCCTTTGTAGATTCTACAAAAGGACTGTTTCCAAACTGCTCAATCAAAGAAAGGTTCAACTCTATGAGATGAATGCACACATCACATAGATGTTCCTCACAATCCTTCTGTCTGTTTTTTATGTGAAGATATTTCCTTTTTCACCATAGGCCTCAAACTGCTCCAAACATCCATTTGCTGATTCGACAAAAAGACTGTTTCTAAACTCCCCAATCAAAGAAGGATTCAACTGTATGAAATGAATGCAGACATCACAGAGATGTTTCTCACAATGCTTCTGTGTGTTTTTTTATGTGAAGGTATTTACTTTTTCACCATAGGCCTCAAAGTGCTCCAAACATCCATTTGCTGATTCCACAAAAAAACCCATTCCAAACTGCTCAATCAAAAGAAAGGTACAACTCCATGTGTTGAAAGCATGCATCACAAAGAAGTTTCTCAGAAAGCTTCTGTCTAGTTTTTCTTTGAGGATATTTCCTGTTTCACCATGGGCCATAAAGGGCTCAAAAATATTTTTCACAGATTCTACAATAAGACTGTTTCCAAACTGCTCAATCCAAAGAAAGGTTCAACTCTGTGAGATGAATGGACACAAGACAAAGAAGTTTCTCAGAATACTTCTGTCTAGGGTTCATGTGAGATATTTCCTTTTTCACCATAGGCCTCAAAGTGCTCCAAATATCCATTTGCAGATTCCACAAAAAGACTGTTTCCAAATTGCTCAATAAAAAGAAAGTTTCAACTCTGTGAAGTGAAAGCACACATCACAAAGAAGTTTCTCAGAATGTATATTTGTAGTTTTTTTGTGAAGATATTTCCTTTTTCACCATTGGCCTCAACATGCTCAAAATATCCATTCGCAGATTCTACCAAAAGACTGTTTACAAACTGCTAAATCGAAAGAAAGTTTCAGCTCTGTGATATGAATGCACGCATCACAAAGAAGTTTCTCAGAAAGCTTCTGTTTAGTGTTTATCTGAAGATATTTCCTTTTTCACCCCAGGCCTCAAAGTGCTCCAAATATGCATTTCCAGATTCTATAAAAAGTCTGTTTCCAAGCTGCTCAATGAAAAGAAAGGTTCATCTCTGTGAGATGAAAGCACATATCACAAAGAAGTTTCTCAGAATGTTTCTTTCTAGTTTTTTTGTGAAGATATTTCCTTTTTTACCATAGGCCTCAAAGCACTCCAAATATCCATCTGTAGATTCTACAAAAAGACTGTTTACAAACTGTCCAATCAAAAGAAGATTTCAACGCTGTGAGATGAATGCACGCATTACAAAGTTGTTTCTCAGAAAGCTTCTGTTTAGTTTTTATGTGAAGATATTTGCTTTTTCACCATAGGCCTCGAAACGCTCCAATTATCCATTTGCAGATTATGCAAAAAGAGTGTTTCCAAACTGCTCAGTCAAAAGAAATGCTTAACTCTTTGAGATGAAAGCACTCATTAAAAATAAGTTTCTCAGAAAGCTTCTGTCTAGCTTTATGTGAAGACATTTCCTATATCACCAAAGACCTCAATCGGCTGAGAAATATCCCTTTGGGGATTCTACAATAGGACTGTTTCCAAACTGCTCTAGCAAAGGAAAGGTTCAACTCTGTGAGATGAATGCAAGCATCACAAAATAGTTTCTCAGAAAGATTCTGTGTAATTTTTATGTGAAGATATTTCCTACTTCACCATAGGCCTCAAAGGGTTCACAATTATCCCTTTGTAGATTTTACAAAAATACTGTTTCCAAATCTTCAATCAAATAAATGTTCAACTGTGTGAGATGAATGAAAACCTCACAAAGAAATTTCACAGAATGCTTCCGTCGAATTTTTATGTAATGATATTTCCTTTTTTACCATAGGCCCCAAAGTGCTCTAAATATCCATTTGCAGATTCTACAAAAAGGTGGTTTCCAAACTGCTCAATCAAAAGAAAGGTTCAACTCTGTGAGATGGAAGCACACATCACAAAGAAGTTTCTTAGAAACATTCTGTCTAGTTTTTATGGGAAGATATTTCATATTTCACCATAGGCCTCAATGGGCTCAGAAATATACCTTTGCAGATTCTACAAAAGGATTGTTTACAAACTGCTCCATCCAAAGAAAGGTTCAACACTCTGAGATTAATTCACACATCACAAAGAAGTTTCTCAGAAATCTTCTGACTAGTTTTTATGTGAAGATATTTCTTTGTTCACCATAGGCCTCAAACTGCTCGCAAACATCCCTCTACAGATACTACAAAAAGACTGTTACCAAACTGTTTAATCAAAAGAAGGGATCAACTCTGTGTTATAAATGCACATGTCACCAAGAAGTTTCTCAGAATGCTTCTGTCTAGTTTTTATGTGAAGATATTTCCTTTCTCACCAAGACCTCAAACCACTCCAAATATCCATTTGCAGATGCTACAAAAAGATCATTTCCAAACTGCTCAATGAATAGAAAGGTTCAACTCTGTGAGATGAAAGCACACATCACAAAGAAGTTTCATAGAATGTTGCTTTCTAGTTTTTATGTGAAGATATTTCCTTTTTCACCATAGTCCTCATAGTGCTCCAAATATACACTGCAGAT
>NC_000022.11:12977425-12986171 GCF_000001405.40 Homo sapiens | reverse complement strand
ATGGAATGGAATCGAACGGAATGGGATTGAAAGGCATACAACATATGGAATCAAAAGGAATCATATGGAATCGATTGGAAACTAATGGAACGCGGTGAAGTAGAGTGTAGTGGAGTGGAATGAAGTGGAATGGAATTGGATGGAATGGAATTTAATAGAGTCGAGTGTATTGGAATGGGATGGAGTGGAATTAAATGGGAAGGGATTGAATTGAACGGAATTTAGTGGAGTGGAGTGGAGTGGAATGCAACGGAATGGAATGGAATGAAATGGAATGGAGTGGAGTGGAGTGGAATGGAAATTTTTGGAATGGAATGGACTGCAATGCAATGGAATAGAATGGAATGCAATGGACAGGATTGTGTTGAAATTGGGTGGAATGGACAGGACTGTAGTGGAATGGAAGGGAAAATAATGGAGCAAAATGGAATGGTAAGGAAGGGAATGGAATGGCATGGAATGGAATGGAGTGGAGTTGAATGGAATGGAATGGAATCGAATAGAAAGGACTCAAATGGAATGGACTGGAATGTAATAGACTCGAATGGAATGGAATCGAATGGAATGGATTCGAATGGAATGGAATCAAATGGAATGGAAACGTATGGAATGGAAACGTATGGAATGTAATTGAATGGAATGGAATCAATTGGCTTCAAATGGAATGCGGTGAAGTGTACAGGAGTGGAGTGGAATGGAGTGAAATGCAATGGGGTGGAACGCAATTGAATGGAGTGGAGTGGAGTGGAAGGGAATGGAATGGAATGAAATGGAATGGGAAGGAATGTAATTGAATGGAGTGGAGTGGAGTAGAGTGGACTGCAGTGGAGTAGAGTTTAAGTGGAGTGGAATGGAATGGATTGGAATGGAATGGATTGGAATGGAATGGAATGGAGTGGAGTGGAGTTGAGTGGAGTGGAAAGGAGTAGAGTGGACTGGAATGGAATGGATTGGAGTGGAACAGAGTACAGAGGAGTGGAATGGAATGGAATGGAAAAGAGTGGAGTGGAGTTGAGTGGAATGTACGGGAGTGGAGTGGAATGGAAATGATTGGAGTGGAGAGGAGGGAAACGGAGTAGAGTGGAGTTGAATGGAGTGGAGTGGAATGGAATGGAGTGGAGAGGAATGGAATGAAGTGTAGTGGAGTGTGGTGGAGTGCAGTGGAGTGGAGTGCAATGGAATGGAAAGGAATTTAGTGGAGTGGACTGGGATGGAATGGAATGGAGTGCAAAGGAATGGAATGCAGTGAAATGGAATGGAATCGAATGGAATGGAATGAATTGGAGTGGAGTGGAGTGAAGTAGAGTAGAATGGTGTGGAATGGAATAGA
The DNA here is from genome assembly GCF_000001405.40 of Homo sapiens. NCBI lineage: Eukaryota > Metazoa > Chordata > Mammalia > Primates > Hominidae > Homo > Homo sapiens. The sequence goes on along the minus strand of NC_000022.11, from coordinate 12,984,841 downwards.
AAGGAATGGAACGGAATGAAATGGAATGGAATCGAATTGAGAGGAGTGGAGTGGAGTGGAGTGGAATGGAGTGGAATGGAATGGAATGGAACGGAATGGAAACAAATGGAATGGATTCCAAAGGAATGGAATTGAATGGAATGGAATCGAATGCAATGGAATGGAATGGAATGGAATAGAATGGAATGGAATCGAACAAAACGGAATTGCATGTTGTCTAACGGAATCGAAAGGAATGTGGTGAAGTGTAGTGGAGTGGAGTGTAATGGAGTGGAGTGGAGTGTAATGGAGTGGAATGGAATGCACTGCAATGGAATTGAATGGAATGGAGTGTAGTGGAATGGATTGAATGGAATGGGAAGGAATGGAATTGATTGGAGTGGTGTGGAGTAGAGTAGAATGGAATGGAATGGAATGGAATGGAATGGAATGGAATGGAATGGAAAGGAGTGGAATGGAATGGAGTGGAATGGAATGGAGTGGAATGGAATGGAGTGGAATGGAATGGAGTGGAGTGGAGTGGAATGGAATGGAATGGAAAGGAGTGGAATGGAATGGACTCGAATGAAATGGACTCTAACAGAATGAAATCAAATAGAATTTAATCAAATGGAAAGGAATAAAATGGAATGGAATGGAATCTAAAGAAATAGAATCTAATTGAATGGAATGCGTTGAAGTGTAGTGCATTGGAGTGGAATGGAATGAGGTGGAATGGATTTGAATTGAATGTAGTGGACAGTAGTGGATTGGTGTGGAAAGGAATGGAATGGGAAGGAATGGAATTGAACAGTGTGCAATGGAGTGGAGTGGAGTGGAGTGGAATGGAATGGAAAGGAATGGAATGGAGTGGAGTGCAATTTTGTGGAATGCAGTGGAGTGGAGTGAAATTGATGGGAATGCAATTGAGTGGATTTTAGTGTAAAGGAGTGGACTGGAATGGAAGGCAATGGAATTGATTGGGAACAAATGGAATTGAACAGAGTGTAGTGGAGTGGAGTGGAATGCAATGAAGGGAAAGGAGAGGAGTGGAATGGAATTGAATGGAATGGAATCGAATCGAATTGAATGGACTGGATTGGAATGGAATGGATTGGAATGGAGATCAACGGAAGGAAATCGAATGGAATGGACTCAAATGGAAAGGAATCGAATGGAACGTAACCGAGTGGAATGGAATCAAATGGAACGGAATCAAATGGAATGGAATTGAACGGAATGGAATCGAATGGAGTGGAATCGAATGGAATGCAATGGAATGGAATGGAATGGAATGGAATGGAATGGAATGGAATGGAATGGCATAGAATGGAATGAAATCGAATCAAATGGAGTCGAAACGAATGGCATTGAATGGAATCGAATGGAATGCGGTGAAGTGGAGTGGAGTGGAATGGAGTGGGATGGAATGGGAAATAATGGAATTGAAAGGAGTGGAGTGGGGAGGAGAGGAGTGGAATGCAATGGAAAGGAATGGGAAAGAATGGAATTGAAAGGAGCGGAGTGAGGTGGAGTGGAGTTGAGTGCAATGGAATGGAATAGAATGCAGTGCAGTGGAATGTATTGGAGTGGAGTGGTGTGGAGTGGAGTGGAGTGTAATGGCGTGGGATGCAGTGGAACGCAGTGTAGTGGAGTTTAGTAGAGTGGAGTGGAATCGAGTGTACTGGAATGGAGTGGAATGGAATGGACTCGAAAGAAATGAAATGGAATGGAATGGACTGGAATGGAATAGACGCCAATGAATTGGACACGAAAGGAATGGATTCAAAAGGAATGGAATGGCATGAACTGGACTCGAATGGGATGGACTCAAATGCAATGGACTCAAAAGGAATGGAATGGAATGGAAAGGAATTGAATGGAGTGGAATTGGAAAGGAATGGAATGGAATGGCATGAACTGGACTCGAATGGGATGGACTCAAATGCAATGGACTCAAAAGGAATGGAATGGAATGGAACGGAATGGAATGGAATGGAATGGAATGGAATGGAATGGAATGGAATGGAGTACGATGGAGTGGAATGGATTGGAATGGAGTTGAATGGAATGCAGTGGAGTGGAATTGAATGGAGTGTACGGAAGTGGATTGCAGTTGAGTGGAATGGAATGGAATGGAATGGAATGAAATGGACTCGAATGGAATGGACCCTAATGGAATAGACCAAAATGGAATGGACTCGAATAGAATGCACTCGAATGTAATGGAATAAAACTAAATGCAGTCGAATGGAAAGGAATCGAATGGAATGGAATCGAATGGAATGGAGTCGAATGGAATGGAACCAAATGGATTTGAATTGAATGGAATGGAATCGAAAGACATCAAAAGGAATCGAATGCAATGCAGTGAAGGGGAGTGGATTGCAGTGGAATGTAGTGGAATGGAATGGGTTGGAATGGAATTGAATGGATAAAACTGGAATGGAATGGAATGGAAGGAATGGAATTGAACGGAATGAAGTGCAGTGGAGTGAAGTGGAGTGGAATGCAATGGAATGGAATGGAATGGAGTGGAGTGGAGCTGAGTGGAATGCAACTGAATGGAATGGAATGGAGTGATGTGGAGTGGAGTCGAGTGGAATGGAGTGGAGTGGAAAGGAATGGACTAGAATGGAATGGAATGCATTTGAATGGAGTGGAATGGCATGGCGTGGAGTGGAATGGAATGGAATGGAGTGCAGATTGGAGTGGAGTGAAGTGGAGTGGAGGGCAGTGGAATGGAATCGAATGGAATGGAATAAAACGGAGTGCAGTGAAGTGGAGTGGAATGGAGTAGAATTGAACGGAATGGACTGGAATGGAATGGACTCGAATATAATGGAATGGAATGGAATGGATTGGAACGGAGTGGAATGGGAAGGAGTGGACTCGAATGGAATGGACTGGAATGGAATTGACTAGAATGGAATGGACTCAAATAGAATGGACTCGAATGCAATGGACTGTAATGGAATACAATCAAATGGAATGAACTCGAAAGGAATGGAATCAAGTGGAATGTAATCGAATGGAATCGAATCAAATGGAAGGGAATCGAATAGCATCGAATGGACTCGAATTTAATGCATTGATGTTGACTGGACTGGAGAGAAACGGAGTGGAATAGAACGAGGGGGAATGAAATTGAATGCAGTGGAGGGGAGTAGAGTGGAAGGGATTAGGAATGGAATGGAATGGGAAGAAAATGAATTGAACAGGGTGGAGTGGAGTAGATAGGAATGGAGTGGAGTAGAATCGAATGGAATGGAATGAAATGGAAAGCAAAGGAACTGAGTCGAGTCAAGTGGATTGGAATGGAATGGAGTGGAGTTGAATGGAATACAGTGTAGTGAAATGGAGTGTAGTGCAGTGGAATGGAATGGAATAGAATGGGATGGAATAAAATTGAGAGCAGTGGAGTGGACTGGAATGGGGTGAATTGGACTGGAATGGAGTGGAATGGAATGTGGTGAAGGGAATTGAATGTAGTGGAGTGGAGTGGACTGGAAAGGAGTGGAATGGAAAGCAATGGGAAGTAATGGAATTGAACGGAGTTGAGTGGAGTGCAGTTGAGTGGAATGGAATGGAATGGAAAGGAATGGAAAGGAATGGAATGGAAAGGAATGGAAAGGAATGGAAAGGAATGGAATGGAAAAGAAAGTAATGGAATGGAATGGAATAGAATGGAATGGAATGGTATGGTATGGAATGGAGTGACATGGTGGGGAATGGATTTGAATGGAATGGTGTGGAGTGGGATGGGATGAAGTGGACTGGATTGGAATGGAATGGATTGGAAAGGAATGGAATGGAATGGATTCGAATGGAATGGACAAGAATTTAATAGAATGGAATGGAATAGAATGGAATGGAATGGACTCGAATGGAATGGAATGGAATGGACTCGAATGGAATGGACTGGAATGGACTCGAATGGAATGGACTGGAATGGAATGAAATCGAGTGAAATGGAATCGAATGAAGTTGAATCAAACGGAATTTAATCAAACGGAATGAAACCAAATGGAATGGACTGGAATGGAATGAAATGGAAAGGAATGGACTCAAATGGAATATACTCGAATGGAATAAATCAAATGGCATGGAATCGAAAGGAATGGAATCGAATGGAATGGAATTGAATTGAATGGAATCGAATGGAATGGAATGGAATTGAATGGAATCGAATGGAATGGAATCGAATGGAATGTTATTGAATGACTTCTAATGGAATCCAATGTAATGTGATGAAGTGGAGTGTAGTGGAATGGAGTGGGATTGAAGGGGGTGGAATGAAATTGAATGCAGTGGAGTGGAGTGGCCAGCAATAGCGCGGAATGGAATGGAATGGGAAGGAATGGAATTGAATGGAGTGGAGTGGAGTCGAATGGAGTGGAGTGGAGTCGAATGAAATGGAATGGAATGTATTGGACAGTAGTGGAGTGGATTTCAGTGGAGTGGAATGCAATGGAATGGAATGGAGTGGAATGGAATGGAGTTCAGTGGAGTGGAGTGGAATGGAATTGAGTAGAGTGGAGTGAATTGGAGTGGAATGGAGTGGAATGGAATGGATTGGAGTGGATTGAAGTGTACTGGAATGGAATAGAGTGGAGTGGAGTGGAGTAGAATGAAACGGAATGGAATGGAAAGGAATGAATTGCAATGGAATAGACTTGAATTGAATGAACTGGAATGGAATGGACTGGAAACAAATGTACTCCAATGGAAGGGACTCGAATGGATTGTACTCGAATGGAATGGATTCGAATGGAAAGGAATCACATGGAATTTAATTGAAGGGAATATAATCGAATGGAACAGAATGTGTTGATGTGGAGTGGAGGGGAATGGATTGGAAGGGAATGGGGTGGAATGGAATTGAATGCAGTAAAGAGAAGAGTCTTGGAATGGATTGGAATGGAATGGGATGGAATGGAACTGAACAGAGGTGAGTGCAGTGGAGTGGAGTGGAATGCAATGGAATGGAATTGAACAGAGGTGAGTGGAGTGGAGTAGAGAGGAATGCAATGGAATGTAATGGAATGGAGTGGAGTGGAGTGGTGTGGAGTCGAATGCAATGGAGTGGAGTGGAGGGGAGTGGATAGGAATGGAATGGAATGGAGTGGAATGGAGTGGAGTGGAGTGGAATGGAATGGAATCGAATGGAATGGAGTGGAATGGAGTAGAGTGGGGTGGAATGGAATGAGATGGAATAGAATGGGAAGGAATGGAATTGAATAAAGGGGAGTGGAGTAGAGTGCAGGGGAATGCAATGGAATGGAATGGAATGGAATAGAGTAGGGTGGAGTGGAGTGGAATGGAATGCAATGGAATGGAATAAAGTGGAGTGGAGTGGAGTGGAAAGGAATTCAAAGGAATGGAATTGAATGGAATTGAAAGGAATCACTTGGAATGGAGTGGAATGCAGTCGAATGGACTGGAATGGAATGGACTCGAGTAGAATGGAATTGAATGGAATGGAATGGAATGAACTCAACTGGAATGGAATCAAATGGAATGGAATCGAAAGGAATGGAATCATATGGAATGTAAAGGAATGGAATGGAAGGGCAAGGAATGGAATGGAATGAAATGGAATGGAATGGAATGGAATGGAATGGAATGAAATGGAATGGAATGGAATGGAATGAAACGGAATGGAAAGGAATGGAATGGAAAGGAATGGACTCGAATGGAATGGACTGGAATGGAATGGAATTGAATGGAATGGAATAGAACGGAATGGATTCCAGTGGAAGGGAATCGAATGGAATGAAATTGAATGGAATGGACTGGAATGGAATGGACTGGAATGGAATGAACTGGAAAGGAATCGACTGCAATGGAATGTACTCGAATGGAATAAATTGAATGGCATGGAATCGAATGGATTGGAATCGAATGAAATGGAATTGAATGGAATGGAATCGAACGGAATGCAATCGAATGGATTGTAATTGAATGACCTCGAATGGAATCCAGTTGAATGTGGTGAAGTGGAGTGGAGTGGATTGGAGTTAAATTGAATGGGGTGGAATGGAATTGAATGCAGTGGAGTGGAGTGGAATGGAGGGAATGGAATGGAATGGGAATGAATGGAATTGAACGGAGTGGAGTGAAGTGGAGTGGAATGCCAGGGAATGGAATAGAATTAACTGGAGTGGAGTGGATTGGAGTGGGGTGGAATGCGATGGAATGGAATGTAGAGGAATGAAATGGAGTGCAGTTGAGTGGAGTGGAATCAAATTGAGTGGAGTGGAATGGAGTGTATTGGAGTGGAATCCAGTGGAATAGAATGGAATGGAGTACAGTGGAGTAGAGTGGAATGGAATGGAGTGGATTGGAGTGGAGTGGAGTAGAATGGAATGCAATGGAATGGAACGGAATGGAACGGAATAGAATGGAATGGAATGGAATGGAATGCAGTGGAATAGAATGGACTCAAATAGAATGAACTGAAATAGAATTAACTGGAAACCAATGTAATCCAATGGAAAGGACTCAAATGGATTGTACTCGAATGGATTGGAATCGAATGGAATGGAATCAAATGGAATGGAATTGAATGGAATTTAATTGAAGGGAATGTATTCGAATGGAACAGAATGTGGAGATGTGGAGTGGAGTGGAGGGGAACGGATTGGAAGGGAATGGGTGGAATGGAAATGAATGGAGTGGAGTGAACTGTCTTGGAATGGAGTGGAAATGAATTGAATGGGAAGGAATGGAATTGAAAGGAGGGGAGTGGAGTGGAGTGGAATGCAATGGAATGTAATGGAATGACGTGGAGTGGAGTGGAGTGGAATGCAATGGAGTGGAGTGGAATGGATTGGAGTGGAATAGAATGCAATGGAATGGAATGGAGTGGAATGGAAAGGAGTGGATTGGAGTGGAGTGCAGTGGAATGCAATCAAATGGAATGGAATGGGAAGTTATGTAGTTGAACAGAGGGGAGTGGAGTGGAGTGCAATGGAATGCAATGGGATGTAATGGAATGGAGTAGGGTGGAGTGGAGTGAATGGAATGCAATGGAATGGAATGGAGTGGAACGCAGTGGAGTGGATTGGAATGTAGTGGAGTAGAGTAGAGTGGAGTGGTGTGGAATGGAGTGGAGTGGAGTGGAAAGGAGTGAAGTGGAATTGAGTGGAATGGATATTATGGCAGTGGAGTGGATTGGAGTGGAACGGAGGGGTAAGGAGTGGTTTGGAGTGGAATGGAGTGGAATAGAGCGGACTCTAGTGGAGTGGAAGAGAGTGGAATGGAATGGAATGGAGTGGAATGGAATGGAATGGAGTGGAATGGAAGGGAATGGAATGGAATGGACTCGAATGGAAAGGACTGAAATAGAATGGCGTGAAATGGAATGGACTCAAATGGAATGAATCGAATGGAATGGAATCAAAAGGAAAGTAATCAAATGGAATGGAATCAAAT
>NC_000022.11:12954788-12977325 GCF_000001405.40 Homo sapiens | reverse complement strand
TCTGTCTAGTTTTTATGTGAAGATATTTCTTTTTCCCCTGTAGGTCACAAAGGCCTCCAAATATCCACTTGCAGATTCTACAAAAAGAGTATTTGAAAACTTCACAATCAAAAGAAAGTTTCAACTCTGTGAGATGAATGCACACATCACAAAGAAGTTTCTCAGATTGCTTCTGTCTAGTTTATGTGAAGATATTTCCTTTTCCAACAGAGGCTGCAAAACACTCGAAATATCCACTTGCAGATTCTAAAAAAAGAGTGTTTCAAAACTGCTCAATCAAAAGAAAGACTCAAATCTGTGAGTTGAACACACACAACACAAAGAACTTTGTCAGAATGCTTCTCTCTAGTTTTTATGTGAAGATATTTGCTTTTCCACCATAGGCCGCAAAGCGCGCCAAGTATCCACTTGCAGATTTTACAAAAATAGTGTTTCAAAACTGCTCAAACAAAAGAAAGGTTCAACTCTGTGAGTTGAATGCACACATCACAAAGAAGTTTCTCAGAATGCTTCTCCGTAGTTTTTATGTGAAAATATATCCTTTTCCGCATTAGGCCACAAAGCATTGCAAATATCCACTTGCAGATCCTAAAAAAAGTGTGTTTCAAAACTACTCAATCAAAAGAAAGGTTCAACTCTGTGTGTTGAATGCACACATCACAAACCAATTTCTCAGAATGCTTCTGTGTAGTTTTCACGTGAAAATATTTACTTTTCTACCATAGGCCTCAAAACACTCCAAGTATCCAATTGGAGATTCTACAAAAAGAGTGTTTCAAAACTGCTCAATCAAAAGAAAGCTTCAACTCTGTGAGATGAATGCACACATGACAAAGAAGTTTCTCAGAATGCTGTTGTCTAGTTTTTATGTGAAGATATTGCCTTTTCCACTTAAGGCCACATAGCGCTCCAAACATCCACTTGCAGATTCTGCAAAAGGAGTCTTTCAAAACTGCTCAATCTAAAGAAGGACTGCACTCTTTGAGTTAAATGCACACATCACAAAGAAGTTTCTCAGAATGCTTCTGTGTACTATTTATGTGAAGATATTTCCTTTTCCACCGTAGGCCTCAAAGCACTCCAAAAATCCACTGTCAGATTTTACAAAAAGAGTGTTTCAAAACTGCTGAATCAAAAGAAAGGTTGAACTCTGTGGGTTGAATGCACACATCACAAAGTAGTTTCTCAGAATGCTTCTGTCTAATTTTTATGTGAAAATATTCCGTTTTCCACCATAGGCCTCAATGTGCTCCAAATATCCACTTGCAGATTCTACAAAAAATGTGTTTCCAAACTGCTCAACCAAAAGAATGGTTCAACTCTGTGAGATGAAACCACATATCATAAGGAAGTTTCTCAGAAATTTTCTGTCTAGTTTTTATGTGAGAATGTTTCCTATTTCATCCATAGGCGTCAATGGGCTGAGAAATATCCCTTCACAGATTCTACGAAAGGACTGTTTCCAAACTGCTGAATCGAAAGAAATGTTCAACTCTTTGTGATGAATGTGCACATCACAAAGAAGTTTCTCAGAATGATTCTGTCTAGTTTTTATGTGAAGATATTTCGTTTTCCACTATAGGCCACAAAGGACTCCAAATATCCACTTGCAGATTCCCCATAAAGAGTGTTTCCAAACTGCTCAATCAAAGGAAAGTTACAACTCTGTGAGATGAAAGAACACATCATAAAGAAGTTTCTTACAGAAAGCTCCTGTCTAGTTTTTATGTGAAGATATTTTATGTTTCACCATAGTCCAGAAGGTGCTCAAAAATAGCCCTTTGCAGATTCTACACAAAGACTGTTTCCAAACTTCTGAACCAAAATAAAGGTTCAACTCTGTGAGATGAAAGCACATATCTCAAAGAAGTTTCTCAGAAACGTTCTGTCTGGTTTTTATGAGAAGTTATTTCCTATTTCACCATAGGCCTCAATGGACTGAGAAATATCCCTTTGCAGATTCTGCAAAAGGACTATTTCCAAACTGCTCAATCCAAAGAAAGTTTCACCTCTTTGAGTTGAATGCACGCATCACAAACAAGTTTCTCAGAATGCTTCTGTCTAGTTTTTATGTGAAGATATTTCCTTTTTCACCATAGCCCTTAAACTGCTCTCACATATCCCTCTGCAGATACTGCAAAAAGACTGTTTCCAAACTGCTCCATCAAAGGAAAGGTTCAACTCTGTGAGATGAATGGATACATCACAAAGAAGTTTCTCAGAATACTTCTGTCTAGTTTTTATGTGAAGATATTTCTTTTTTGATATAGGCCTCCAACTTCTCAGAAATATCCCATTCCAGATTGTACAAAAAGACTGTATCCAAACTTCTCAATGAAAAGAAACTTTCAACTCTGTGTGATGTATGCATGCATCAAAAAGAAGTTTCTCAGAAAGCTTCTGTTTATATTTCATGCAAAGGTATTTCCTTTTTCACCATAGGCCTCAAAGCGCTCCAAATATCCATTTGCAGATTCTACAAAAAGACTGTTTCCAAACTGCTCAATCAAAAGAAAGTTTCATATCTGTGACATGAAAGCACACATCACTAAGAAGTTTATCAGAAAGCTTCTGTCTACTTTTTATGTGAAAATATGTCCTTTTTCACCATAGGCGTCAATGGGAACAGAAATATCCCTTTGCAGATCCCACAAAAATACTGTTTCCTAACTGCTCAACCAAAAGAATGGTTCAACTCTGTGAGATGAAACCACATATCACAAAGAAGTTTCTCAGAAATCCTCTGTCTAGTTTTTATATGAAGATATTTCCTACTTCATCCATAGGCCTCAATGGGCTCAGAAATATCCTTTCACAGATTCTACAAAACGACAATTTCCAAACTGCTCAATCCAAAGACAGGTTCAACTCTTTGAGATGAATGCACAGAACATAAAGAAGTTTCTCAGAATGCTTCTACCTAGTTTTTATGTGAAGATATTTCCTTTTTCACCACAGGCCTTAAACTGCTTTCACACATCCCTCTGCAGATACTACAAAAAGACTGTTTCCAGACTGCTCCATCAAAAGAAAAATTCAAATCTGTGAGATGAATAGATACATCACAAAAAATTTTCTCAGAATACTTCTGTCTACATTTTATCTGAAGATATTTCTTTTTCACCATAGGCCTCCAACTTCGCAGAAATTTCCTTTGCAGACTGTACAAAAAGACTGTTTCCAAACTGCTCAATGAAAAGAAAGTTTCACCTCTGTGAGATGTATGAACTCATAAAAAAGAAGTTTCTCAGAAAGCTTCTGTTTAGATTTCATGTGAAGATATGTCCTTTCTCACCATAGGCGTCAAAGCGCTCAAAATATCCTTTGCAGATTCTACAAAAACACTGTTTCCAAACTGCTCAATCGAAAGAAAGTTCAAACCTGTGAGATGAAAGCACACATCACTAAAAAGTTTCTCAGAATGCTTCTGTCTAGTTTTTAAGTGAAGATATTTCTTCTTTCACCATAGGTCTCAATGGGCCCAGAAATATCCCTTTGCAGATCCTACAAAAGGACTGTTTACAAACTGCTCAATCAAAACAAAGTTTCAACTCTGTCAGTTGAATGCACACATCACAAAGAAGTGTCTCAGAATCTTCTGACTAGGTTTTATATGAAGATATTTCCTTTCTCACCAAAGTCCTCAAAATGCTCACAAATATCTCTCTGCAGATACTATAAAAGACTGTTTCCAAACTGCTCAATCAAAAGAAAGGTTCAACTCTGTGAGATGAACGCACACATCACAAAAATGTTTCCAGAATGCTTCTGTCTGGTTGTTATGTGAAGATATTTCCTTTTTCACCACAGGCCTCAAAGCACTCCAAATATCCATTTGCAGATCCTACAAAAAGAGAGTTTCCAAATTGCTCAATCAAAAGGTAGTTTCATCTCTGTGAGATGAAAACACACATCCCAAAGAAGTTTCTCAGAAAGCTTCTGTTTATTTTTTATGTGAAGATATTTCCTAATTCACCATAGGCCTAAATCGGCTAAGAAGTATCCTTTTGCAGATTGTAGAAAAATACTGTTTCCAAACTGCTGAATCAAAAGAAAAGTTGAACTGTGTGAGATGAATGCACACATCACAAAGAAGATTCTCAGAATGCTTCTGTCTAGTTTTTATGTGAAGATATTTGCCTTTCCACCATAGGCTGCAATGGTCACCAAATATCCACTTGCAGATATTAAAAAAATAGTGTTTCAAAACTGCCCGATCTAAAGAAAGGTTCAACTCTGTACGTTGAATGCACACATCACAAAGAAGTTTCTCAGAATGTTTCTGTCTACCTTTTATCCAAAGTTATTTCCTTTTCCACTATACTCGGCAAAGCCCTCCGAATATCCACTTGCAGATTCTACAAAAGAAGTGTTTCAAAATTGCACAATCAAAAGAAAGATTCAACTCTGGGAGTTGTATGCACACATCAGAAAGAAGTTTCTCAGAATGCTTTTGTGTAGTTTTTATGTGAAGATATTTCCTTTTCCACCATAGGCCCTAAAGCTCTCCAAATATCCACTTGCAGATTATACAAAAAGAGGGATTCAAAACTGCTCAATCAAAAGAAAGGTTCAACTCCGTGAGCTGAAGGCTCACATAACAATGCTGTTTCTCAGAATGCTTCTCCATAGTTTTTATATGAAGATATTTCCTTTTCCACCATTCTCTCCAAAGCGCTCCAAATATCCACTTGCAGATTCTATAAAAAGAGTGTTTCAAAACTGCTCAATGAAAAGAAAGTTTCAACTCTGTGAAATGAATGGACACATCACAAAGACGTTTCTCAGAATGCTTCTGTCTAGTGTTTATGTGAAGATATTTCCTTTTCCACCACACTTCTCAAAGCGATCTAAATATGCACTTGCAGATGCTACGAAGAGTGTTTCAAAACTGCTGAATCAAAAGAATGTTTCAAATCTGTGAGATGAATGAACACATCACAGAGAAGTTTCTCAAAATGCTTCTGTCTAGTTTTTATGAGAAGATAATACTTTTCCACCATTGGCCCCAAAGGGCTCCAAATAACAACTGCAGATCCTTCAAAAAGTGTATAAAAAATGCTAAATCAATAGAAAGTTTCAACTCTGTGAGATGTATGCACACATCACAAAGAAGTTTCTCAGAATGCTTCTCTCTAGTTTTTATGTGAGGATATTTCCTTCTCCACCATAGGACTCAATGCACTCCAAATAAACACTGGCAGATTCTAGAAAAAGAGCGTTTCAAAACTGCTCAATCAAAAGAAATTTTCAAATTTGTGAGATGAATGTGCACATCACAAAGAAGTTTCTTAGAGTAATTCTGTCTAGTTTTTATGTGAAGATTTTTCATTTTCCACCATACTCCTCAAAGCGTTCCAAATATCCACTTTCACATTCTACAAGGAGATTGTTTCAAAACTGCTCAATAAAAAGAATGGTTCAACTATGTGAGATGAATGCAAGCATCACAAAGAGGTATTTCAGAATGCTTCTGTGTAGTTTTTATGTGAAGATGTTTCCTTTACCACCATAGGACCCAAAGCCCTCCAAATATCCACTTACAGATTCTCCAAAAAGTATTTCAAAAGTGCTCAATCAAAAGAAAGGTTGAACTCTTTGAGATGAATGCACACATCACAAAGATGTTTTTCAGAATGCTTGTCTGTCTAGTTTTTATGTGAATATACATCCTTTTCCACTATAGGCCACAAAGTGCTCCAAACACCCACTTGTAGATTCTACAAAAAGAGTGTTTCAAAAGTCCTCAATAAAAAAAGTTATAACTCTGTGAAGTGAATGTACACATCACAAAGAAGATTCTCAGAATGCTTCTGTCTAGTTTTTATGTGAAGATATTTGCTTTTCCACCATTGGATGCAAATTGCACCCAATATACACTTGTAGATTTTACAAAAATAGTGTTTCAAAACTGCTCAATCAAAAGAAAGGTTCAATTCTGTGAGTTGAATGCACGCATAAGAAAGAAGTTTCTCAGAATGCTTCGCTGTAGTTTTTATGTGAAGATATTTCCTTTCCCACCATAAGCCTCAAAGTGCTCCAAATATCCACTTGCACACTCTACAAAAAGAGTGGTTGAAAACTGCTCAATCAAAAGAAAGGTTGAACTCTGTGAGATGAATGCACACATCACAAAGAAGTTTCTCAGAATGCTTCTCCGTAGTTTTTATGTGAAGATATATCCTTTTCCGCAGTAGGCCACAAAGCACTCCAAATATCCACTTGCAGATCCTAAAAAAAGTGTGTTTCAAAACTGCTCAATCAAAAGAAAGGTTCAACTCTGTGTGTTGAATGCACACATCACAAACCAATTTCTCAGAATGCTTCTGTGTAGTTTTCATGTGAAGATATTTCCTTTTCCACCATAGGCCTCAAAGCGCTCCAAGTATCTAATTGGAGATTCCACAAGAGTGTTTCAATACTACTCAATCAAAAGAAAGCTTCAACTCTGTGAGATGAATCCACACATCACAAAGAAGTTTCTCAAAATGCTGCTGTCTAGTTTTTATGGGAAGATATGTCCTTTTCCACCATGGGCCTCAAAGTGCTCCAAATATCCACTTGCAGATTCTACAAAAATACAGTTTCCAAACTGCTCAATAAAAAGAAAGGTTCAACTCTGTGAGATGAATGCACACATCACAAAATGTTTCTCAGAATACTTCTGTGTACTATTTATGTGAAGATATTTCCTTTTCCACTGTAGGCCTCAAAGCGCTCCAAAAATCCACTGTCAGATTTTACAAAAAGAGTGTTTCAAAACTGCTGAATCAAAAGAAAGGTTGAACTCTGTGGGTTGAATGCACACATCACAAAGTAGTTTCTCAGAATGCTTCTGTCTAATTTTTATGTGAAAATATTTCGTTTTCCACCATAGGCCTCAATGTGCTCCAAATATCCACTTGCAGATTCTACAAAAAGAGTGTTTCCAATCTTCTCAACCAAAAGAACGGTTCAACTCTGTGAGATGAAACCACATATCACAAAGAAGTTTCTCAGAAATTTCTGTCTAGTTTTTAATGTGAGAATATTTCCTATTTCATCCATAGGCATCAATGGGCTGAGAAATATCCCTTCACAGATTCTACAAAAGGACTGTTTCCAAACTGCTGAATTGAAAGAAATGTTCAACTCTTTGTGATGAACGTGCACATCACAAAGAAGTTTCTCAGAATGATTCTGTCTAGTTTTTATGTGAAGATATTTCGTTTTCCACTATAGGCCACAAAGGACTCCAAATATCCACTTGCAGATTCCCCATAAAGAGTGTTTCCAAACTGCTCAACCAAAGGAAAGTTACAACTCTGTGAGATGAAAGAACACATCATAAAGAAGTTTCTCAGAAAGCTTCTGTCTAGTTTTTATGTGAAGATATTTTCTGTTTCACCATAGTCCAGAAGGTGCTCAAAAATAGTGCTTTGCAGATTCTACACAAAGACTGTTTCCAAACTTCTGAACCAAAAGAAAGGTTCAGCTCTGTGAGATGAAAGCACATATCTCAAAGAAGTTTCTCAGAAACCTTCTGTCTGGTTTTTATGAGAAGATATTTCCTATTTCACCATAGGTCTCAATGGGCTGAGAAACAACCCTTTTGCAGATTCTACAAAAGGACTGTTTCCAAACTGCTCAATCCAAAGAAAGTTTCACCTCTTTGAGTTGAATGCATACATCACAAAGAAGTTTCTCAGAATGCTTCTGCCTAGTTTTTATGTGAAGATATTTCCTTTTTCACCACAGGCCTTAAACTGCTCTCAGATATCCCTCCGCAGATACTACAAAAAGACTGTCTCCAAACTGCTCCATCAAAAGTAAGGTTCAACTCTGTGAGATGAAAGGATACATCTCAAAGAAGTTTCTCAGAATACTTCTGTCTAGTTTTTATGTGAAGATATTTCTTTTTCGATATAGGCCTCCAACTTCTCAGAAATATCCCTTTCCAGATTGTACAAAAAGACTGTTTCCAAACTGCTCAATGAAAAGAAACTTTCAACTCTGTGAGATGTATGCATGCATCAAAAAGAAGCTTCTCAGAAAGCTTCTGTTTATATTTCATGTGAAGGTATTTCCTTTTTCACCATAAGCCTCAAAGCACTCCAAATATCCATTTGCAGATTCTACAAAAAGACTGTTTCCAAACTGATCAATCAAAAGAAAGTTTCAAATCTGTGACATGAAAGCACACATCACTAAGAAGTTTATCAGAAAGCTTCTGTCTAGTTTTTATGTGAAGATATGTCCTTTTTCACCATAGGCGTCAATGGGAACAGAAATATCCCTTTGCAGATCCCACAAAAATACTGTTTCCTAACTGCTCAACCAAAAGAATGGTTCAACTCTGTGAGATGAAACCACATATCACAAAGAAGTTTCTCAGAAATCCTCTGTCTTGTTTTTATGTGAAGATATTTCCTATTTCATCCATAGGCCTCAATGGGCTCAGAAATATCCCTTCACAGATTCTACAAAACGACAGTTTCCAAACTGCTCAGTCCAAAGACAGGTTCAAGTCTTTGAGATGAATGCAAACAATACAAAGAAGTTTCTTAGAATGCTTCTACCTTGTTTTTATGTGAAGATATTTCCTTTTTCACCACAGGCCTTAAACTTCTCTCACATATCCCTCTTCAGATACTACAAAAAGACTGTTTCCACACTGCTCCATCAAAAGAAAAATTCAACTCCGTGAGATGAATAGATACATCACAAAAAATTTTCTCAGAATACTTCTGTCTACATTTTATCTGAAGATATTTCTTTTTCACCATAGGCCTCTAACTTCGCAGAAATATTCCTTTGCAGATTTTACAAAAAGACTGTTTCCAAACTGCTCAATGAAAAGAAAGTTTCACCTCTGTGAGATGTATGCAGTCATCAAAAGGAAGTTTCTCAGAAAGCTTCTGTTTAGATTTCATGTGAAGATATGTCCTTTTTCACCATAGGCCTCAAAGTGCTTGAAGTATCCTTTGCAGATTCTACAAAAAGACTGTTTCCAAACTGCTCAATCAAAAGAAAGGTTCAAACCTGTGAGATGAAAGCACACATCACTAAGAAGTTTCTCAGAATGCTTCTGTCTAGTTTTTAAGTGAAGATATTTCTTCTTTCACCATAGGTCTCAATGGGCCCAGAACTATCCCTTTGCAGATCCTACAAAAGGACTGTTTACAAACTGCTCAATCAAAACAAAGTTTCACCTCTATCAGTTGAATGCACACATCACAAAGAAGTTTCTCAGAATCTTCTGACTAGGTTTTATATGAAGATATTTCCTTTCTCACCAAGTCCTCAAAATGCTGACAAATATCTCACTGCAGATACTATCAAAGACTGTTTCCAAACTGCTCAATCAAAAGAAATGTTCAACTCTGCGAGATGAATGCACGCATCACAAAGATGTTTCCAGAATGCTTCTGTCTGGTTGTTATGTGAAGATATTTCCTTTTTCACCACAGGCCTCAAAGCGCTCCAAATATCCATTTGCAGATCCTACAAAAAGAAAGTTTCGAAATTGCTCAATCAAAAGAAAGTTTCATCTCTCTGAGATGAAAACACACATCCCAAAGAAGTTTCTCAGAAAGCTTCTGTCTAGTTTTTATGTGAAGATATTTCCTAATTCACCATAGACCGAAATCGGCTAAGAAGTATCCCTTTGCAGATTGTACAAAAATACTGTTTCCAAACTGCTGAATCAGAAGAAAAGTTGAACTGTGTGAGATGAATGCACACATCACAAAGAAGTTTCTCAGAATGCTTCTGTCTAGTTTTTATGTGAAGATATTTGCTTTTCCATCATAGGCCGCAATCGTCACCAAATATCCACTTGCAGATTTTACAAAAATAGTGTTTCAAAACTGCCCAATCTAAAGAAAGGTTCAACTCTGTACGTTGAATGCACACATCACAAAGAAGTTTCTCAGAATGCTTCTGTCTACCTTTTATCCAAAGTTATTTCCTTTTCCACTATACTCGGCAAAGCCCTCCTAATATCCACTTGCAGATTCTACAAAAGAAGTGTTTCAAAATTGCACAATCAAAAGAAAGATTCAACTCTGGGAGTTGTATGCACACATCAGAAAGAAGTTTCTCAGAATGTTTTTGTGTAGTTTTTATGTGAAGATATTTCCTTTTCCACCATAGGCCCTAAAACTCTCCAAATATCCACTTGCAGATTCTACAAAAAAAGGGAATCAAAACTGCTCAATCAAAAGAAAGGTTGAACTCTGTGAGCTGAAGGCACACATAACAATGCCGTTTCTCAGAATGCTTCTCCATAGTTTTTATATGAAGATATTTCCATTTCCACCATTCTCTCCAAAGTGCTCCAAATATCCACTTGCAGATTCTATAAAAAGAGTGTTTCAAAACTGCTCAATGAAAAGAAAGTTTCACCTCTGTTAGATGAATGGACACATCACAAAGACGTTTCTCAGAATGCTTCTGTCTAGTGTTTATGTGAAGATATTTCCTTTTCCACCACACGTCTCAAAGCGATCTAAATATGCACTTGCAGATTCTAGGAAGAGTGCTTCAAAACTGCTGAATCAAAAGAATGGTTCAAATCTGTGAGATGAACGAACACATCACAAAGAATTTGCTCAAAATGCTTCTGTCTAGTTTTTATGAGAAGATAATACTTTTCCACCATTGGCCCCAAAGGGCTCCAAATAGCAACTGCAGATCCTACAAAAAGTGTATAAAAAATGCTAAATCAATAGAAAGTTTCAACTCCGTGAGATGTATGCACACATCACAAAGAAGTTTCTCAGAATGCTTCTCTCTAGTTTTTATGTGATGATATTTCCTTCTCCACCATAGGCCTCAAAGCACTCCAAATATCCACTGGCAGATTCTAGAAAAAGAGAGTTTCAAAACTGCTCAATCAAAAGAAATTTTCAAATCTGTGAGATGAATGCGCACATCACAAAGAACTTTCTCAGAGTACTTCTGTCTAGTTTTTATGTGAAGATTTTTCATTTTCCACCATACTCATCAAAGCGTTCCAAATATCCACTTGCACATTCTACAGGGAGATTGTTTCAAAACTGCTCAATAAAAAGAATGGTTCAACTATGTGAGATGAATGCAAGCATCACAAAGAGGTATTTCAGAATGCTTCTGTGTAGTTTTTATGTGAAGATGTTTCCTTTACCACCATAAGACCCAAAGCCCTCCAAATATCCACTTACAGATTCTCCAAAAGGTATTTCAAAAGTGCTCAATCAAAAGAAAGGTTGAACTCTTTGAGATGAATGCACACATCACAAAGATGTTTCTCAGAATGCTTCTGTCTAGTTTTTATGTGAAGATATTTCCTTTTCCCCTGTAGGCCACAAAGGCCTCCAAATATCCACTTGCAGATTGCACAAAAAGAGTGTTTGAAAACTTCACAATCAAAAGAAAGTTTCAACTCTGTGAGATGAATGCACACATCACAAGGAAGTTTCACAGAATGCTTCTGTCTAGTTTATGTGAAGATATTTCCTTTTCCAACAGAGGCTGCAAAGCACTCGAAATATCCACTTGCAGATTCTAAAAGAAGAGTGTTTCAAAACTGCTCAATCAAAAGAAAGACTCAACTCTGTGAGTTGAACACACACAACACAAAGAACTTTGTCAGAATGCTTCTCTGTAGTTTTTATGTGAAGATATTTCCTTTTCCACCATAAGCCTCAAAGAGCTCCAAATATCCGCTTGCACACTCTACAAAAAGAGCGTTTCAAAACTGCTCAATCAAAAGAAAGGTTGAACTCTGTGAGATGAATGCACACATCACAAAGAAGTTTCTCAGAATGCTTCTCCGTAGTTTTTATGTGAAAATATATCCTTTTCCTCATTAGGCCACAAAGCACTCCAAATATCCACTTGCAGATCCTAAAAAAAAGTGTGTTTCAAAACTACTCAATCAAAAGAAAGGTTCAACTCTGTGTGTTGAATGCACACATCACAAACCAATTTCTCAGAATGCTTCTGTGTAGTTTTCACGTGAAGATATTTACTTTTCTACCATAGGCCTCAAAACGCTCCAAGTATCCAACTGGAGATTCTACAAAAAGAGTGTTTCAAAACTGCTCAATCAAAAGAAAGCTTCAACTCTGTGAGATGAATGCAAACATGACAAAGAAGTTTCTCAGAATGCTGTTGTCTAGTTTTTATGTGAAGATATTGCCTTTTCCACTTAAGGCCACATAGCGCTCCAAACATCCACTTGCAGATTCTGCAAAATAAGTCTTTCAAAACTGCTCAATCTAAAGAAGGATTGCACTCTTTGAGTTAAACGCACACATCACAAAGAAGTTTCTCAGAATGCTTCTGTGTACTATTTATGTGAAGATATTTCCTTTTCCACCGTAAGCCTCAAAGCACTCCAAAAATCCACTGTCAGATTTTACAAAAAGAGTGTTTCAAAACTGCTGAATCAAAAGAAAGGTTCAACTCTGTGGGTTGAATGCACACATCACAAAGTAGTTTCTCAGAATGCTTCTGTCTAATTTTTATGTGAAAATATTCCGTTTTCCACCATAGGCCTCAATGTGCTCCAAATATCCACTTGCAGATTCTACAAAAAATGTGTTCCCAAACTGCTCAAACAAAAGAACGGTTCAACTCTGTGAGATGAAACCACATATCATAAAGAAGTTTCTCAGAAATTTTCTGTCTAGTTTTTATGTGAGAATATTTCCTATTTCATCCATAGGCATCAATGGGCTGAGAAATATCCCTTCACAGATTCTACAAAAGGACTGTTTCCAAACTGCTCAATCGAAAGAAATGTTCAACTCTTTGTGATGAATGTGCACATCACAAAGAAGTTTCTCAGAATGATTCTGTCTAGTTTTTATGTGAAGATATTTCGTTTTCCACTATAGGCCACAAAGGACTCCAAATATCCACTTGCAGATTCCCCATAAAGAGTGTTTCCAAACTGCTCAATCAAAGGAAAGTTACAACTCTGTGAGATGAAAGAACACATCATAAAGAAGTTTCTCAGAAAGCTTCTGTCTAGTTTTTATGTGAAGATATTTTCTGTTTCACCATAGTCCAGAAGGTGCTCAAAAATAGCCCTTTGAAGATTCTACACAAAGACTGTTTCCAAACTTCTGAACCAAAAGAAAGGTTCAGCTCTGTGAGATGAAAGCACATATCTCAAAGAAGTTTCTCAGAAACCTTCTGTCTGGTTTTTATGGGAAGATATTTCCTATTTCACCATAGGCCTCAATGGGCTGAGAAATATCCCTTTGCAGATTCTACAAAAGGACTGTTTCCAAACTGCTCAATCCAAAGAAAGTTTCACCTCTTTGAGATGAATGCATACATCACAAAGAAGTTTCTCAGAATGCTTCTGCCTAGGTTTTTGTGAAGATATTTCCTTTTTCACCGTAGGCCTTAAACTGCTCTCAGATATCTCTCTGCAGATACTACAAAAAGACTGTCTCCAAACTGCTCCATCAAAAGTAAGGTTCAACTCTGTGAAATGAAAGGATACATCTCAAAGAAGTTTCTCAGAATACTTCTGTCTAGTTTTTATGTGAAGATATTTCGTTTTCGATATAGGCCTCCAACTTCTCAGAAATATCCCATTCCAGATTGTACAAAAAGACTGTTTTCAAACTGCTCAATGAAAAGAAACGTTCAACTCTGTGAGATGTATGCACGCATCAAAAAGAAGTTTCTCAGAAAGCTTCTGTTTATATTTCATGTGAAGGTATTTCCTTTTTCACCATAGGCCTCAAAGCACTCCAAATATCCATTTGCAGATTCTACAAAAAGACTGTTTCCAAACTGCTCAATCAAAAGAAAGTTTCAAATCTGTGACATGAAAGCACACATCACTAAGAAGTTTATCAGAAAGCTTCTGTCTAGTTTTTATGTGAAGATATGTCCTTTTTCACCATAGGCATCAATGGGAACAGAAATATCCCTTTGCAGATCCTACAAAAAGACTGTTTCCTAACTGCTCAACCAAAAGAATGGTTCAACTCTGTGAGATGAAACCACATATCACAAAGAAGTTTCTCAGAAATCCTCTGTCTAGTTTTTATGTGAAGATATTTCATATTTCATCCATAGGCCTCAATGGGCTCAGAAATATCCCTTCACAGATTCTACAAAACGACAGTTTCCAAACTGCTCAGTCCAAAGACAAGTTCAAGTCTTTGAGATGAATGCACGCAATACAAAGAAGTTTCTTAGAATGCTTCTACCTAGTTTTTATGTGAAGATATTTCCTTTCTCACCACAGGCCTTAAACTGCTCTCACACATCCCTCTGCAGATACTACAAAAAGACTGTTTCCAGACTGCTCCATCAAAAGAAAAATTCAACTCTGTGAGATGAATAGATACATCACAAAAAATTTTCTCAGAATACTTCTGTCTACATTTTATCTGAAGATATTTCTTTTTCACGATAGGCCTCCAACTTCGCAGAAATTTTGTTTGCAGACTGTACAAAAAGACTGTTTCCAAACTGCTCAATGAAAAGAAAGTTTCACCTCTGTGAGATGTATGAACTCATAAAAAAGAAGTTTCTCAGAAAGCTTCTGTTTAGATTTCATGTGAAGATATGTCCTTTTTCACCATAGGCGTCAAAGCGCTCAAAATATCCTTTGAAGATTCTACAAAAACACTGTTTCCAAACTGCTCAATCAAAAGAAAGTTCAAACCTGTGAGATGAAAGCACACATCACTAAGAAGTTTCTCAGAATGCTTCTGTCTAGTTTTTAAGTGAAGATATTTCTTCTTTCACCATAGGTCTCAATGGGCCCAGAACTATCCCTTTGCAGATCCTACAAAAGGACTGTTTACAAACTGCTCAATCAAAACAAAGTTTCAACTCTATCAGTTGAATGCACACATCACAAAGAAGTTTCTCAGAATCTTCTGACTAGGTTTTATATGAAGATATTTCCTTTCTCACAAAAGTCCTCAAAATGCTCACAAATATCTCTCTGCAGATACTATAAAAGACTGTTTCCAAACTGCTCAATCAAAAGAAAGGTTCAACTCTGTGAGATGAATGCACACATCACAAAAATGTTTCCAGAATGCTTCTGTCTGGTTGTTATGTGAAGATATTTCCTTTTTCACCACAGGCCTCAAAGCGCTCCAAATATCCATTTGCAGATCCTACAAAAAGAGAGTTTCGAAACTGCTCAATCAAAAGAAAGTTTCATCTCTGTGAGATGAAAACACACATCCCAAAGAAGTTTCTCAGAAAGCTTCCATTTATTTTTTATGTGAAGATATTTCCTAATTCACAATAGGCCTAAATTGGCTAAGAAGTATCCCTTTGCAGATTGTACAAAAATACTGTTTCCAAACTGCTGAATCAAAAGAAAAGTTGAACTCTGTGAAATGAATGCACACATCGCAAAGAAGTTTCTCAGAAAGCTTCTGTCTAGTTTTTATGTGAAGATATTTGCCTTTCCACCATAGGCTGCAATGGTCATCAAATATCCACTTGCAGATATTACAAAAATAGTGTTTCAAAACTGCCCGATCTAAAGAAAGGTTCAACTCTGTACGTTGAATGCACACATCACATAGAAGTTTCTCAGAATGTTTCTGTCTACCTTTTATCCAAAGTTATTTCCTTTTCCACTATACTCGGCAAAGCCCTCCGAATATCCACTTGCAGATTCTACAAAAGAAGTGTTTCAAAATTGCACAATCAAAAGAAAGGTTCAACTCTGGGAGTTGTATGCGCACATCAGAAAGAAGTTTCTCAGAATGCTTTTGTGTAGTTTTTATGTGAAGATATTTCCTTTTCCACCATAGGCCCCAAAGCTCTCCAAATATCCACTTGCAGATTCTACAAAAAGCGGGATTCAAAACTGTTCAATCAAAAGAAAGTTTCAACTCTGTGAGTTGAAGGCACACATAACAAAGCCGTTTCTCAGAATGCTTCTCCGTAGTTTTTATATGAAGATATTTCCGTTTCCACCATTCTCTCCAAAGCACTCCAAATATCTACTTGCAGATTCTATAAAAAGAGTGTTTCAAAACTGCTCAATGAAAAGAAAGTTTCAACTCTGTGAGATGAATGGACACATCATAAAGACGTTTCTCAGAATGCTTCTGTCTAGTGTTTATGTGAAGATATTTCCTTTTCCACCACACTTCTCAAAGCGATCTAAATATGCACTTGCAGATTCTACGAAGAGTGTTTCAAAACTGCTGAATCAAAAGAATGGTTCAAATCTGTGAGATGAATGAACACATCACAGAGAAGTTTCTCAAAATGCTTCTGTCTAGTTTTTATGAGAAGATAATTCTTTTCCACCATAGGCCCCAAAGGGCTCCAAATATCCACTGCAGATCCTACAAAAAGTGTTTAAAAAATGCTAAATCAATAGAAAGTTTAAACTCTGTGAGATGTATGCACACATCACAAAGAAGTTTCTCAGAATCCTTCTCTCTAATTTTTATGTGAGGATATTTCCTTCTCCACCATAGGCCTCAAAGCACTCCAAATATCCCCTGGCAGATCCTAAAAAAAGAGCGATTCAAAACTGCTCAATCAAAAGAAATTTTCAAATCTGAGATGAATGCGCACATCACAAAGAAGTTTCTCAGAGTACTTCTGTCTAGTTTTTATGTGAAGATTTTTCATTTTCCACCATACTCATCAAAGCATTCCAAATATCCACTTGCACATTCTACAAGGAGATTGTTTCAAAACTGCTCAATAAAAAGAATGGTTCAACTATGTGAGATGAATGCAAGCATCACAAAGAGGTATTTCAGAATGCTTCTGTGTAGTTTTTATGTGAAGATGTTTCCTTTACCACCATAGGACCCAAAGCCCTCCAAATATCCACTTACAGATTCTCCAAAAAGTATTTCAAAAGTGCTCAATCAAAAGAAAGGTTGAACTCTTTGAGATGAATGCACACATCACAAAGATGTTTTTCAGAATGCTTCTCTGTAGTTTTTATGTGAAGATATTTCCTTTTCCCCTATAGGCCACAAAGACCTCCAAATATCCACTTGCAGATTATACAAAAAGAGTGTTTGAAAACTTCACAATCAAAAGAAAGTTTCCTCTCTGTGAGATGAATGCACACATCACAAGGAAGTTTCTCAGAATGCTTCTGTCTAGTTTATGTGAAGATATTTCCTTTTCCAACAGAGGCTGCAAAGCACTCGAAATATCCACTTGCAGATTCTAAAAAAAGAGTGTTTCAAAACTGCTCAATCAAAAGAAAGACTCAACTCTGTGAGTTGAACACACACAACACAAAGAACTTTGTCAGAATGCTTCTCTGTAGTTTTTATGTGAAGATATTTCCTTTTCCACCATAAGCCTCAAAGAGCTCCAAATATCTGCTTGCACACTCTACAAAAAGAGCGTTTCAAAACTGCTCAATCAAAAGAAAGGTTGAACTCTGTGAGATGAATGCACACATCACAAAGAAGTTTCTCAGAATGCTTCTCCATAGTTTTTATGTGAAAATATATCCTTTTCCGCATTAGGCCACAAAGCACTCCAAATATCCACTTGCAGATCCAAAAAAAAGTGTGTTTCAAAACTGCTAAATCAAAAGAAAGGTTCAACTCTGTGTGTTGAATGCACACATCACAAACCAATTTCTCAGAATGCTTCTGTGTAGTTTTCACGTGAAAATATTTACTTTTCTACCATAAGCCTCAAAACGCTCCAAGTATCCAATTGGAGATTCTACAAAAAGAGTGTTTCAAAACTGCTCAATCAAAAGAAAGCTTCAACTCTGTGAGATGAATGCACACATGACAAAGAAGTTTCTCAGAATGCTGTTGTCTAGTTTTTATGTGAAGATATTGCCTTTTCCACTTAAGGCCACATAGCGCTCCAAATATCCACTTACAGATTCTACAAAAGGAGTCTTTCAAAACTGCTCAATCAAAAGAAGGATTGCACTCTTTGAGTTAAATGCACACATCACAAAGAAGTTTCTCAGAATGCTTCTATGTACTATTTATGTGAAGATATTTCCTTTTCCACCGTAGGCCTCAAAGCGTTCCAAAAATCCACTGGCAGATTTTACAAAAAGAGTGTTTCAAAACTGTTGAATCTAAAGAAAGGTTGAACTCTGTGGGTTGAATGCACACATCACAAAGAAGTTTCTCAGAATGATTCTGTCTAATTTTTATGTGAAAATATTCCGTTTTCCACCATAGGCCTCAATGTGCTCCAAATATCCACTTGCAGATTCTACAAAAAATGTGTTTCCAAACTGCTCAAACAAAAGAACGGTTCAACTCTGTGAGATGAAACCACATATCATAAAGAAGTTTCTCAGAAATTTTCTGTCTAGTTTTTTTGTGAGAATATTTCCTATTTCATCCATAGGCATCAATGGTCTGAGAAATATCCCTTCACAGATTCTACATAAGGACTGTTTCCAAACTGCTGAATCGAAAGAAATGTTCAACTCTTTGTGATGAATGTGCACATCACAAAGAAGTTTCTCAGAATGATTCTATCTAGTTTTTATGTGAAGATATTTCATTTTCCACTATAGGCCACAAAGCACTCCAAATATCCACTTGCAGATTCCCCATAAAGAGTGTTTCCAAACTGCTCAATCAAAGGAAATTTACAACTCTGTGAGATGAAAGAACACATCATAAAGAAGTTTCTCAGAAAGCTTCTGTCTAGTTTTTATGTGAAGATATTTTCTGTTTCACCACAGTCCAGAAGGTGCTCAAAAATAGCGCTTTGCAGATTCTACACAAAGACTGTTTCCAAACTTCTGAGCCAAAAGAAAGGTTCAGCTCTGTGAGATGAAAGCACATATCTCAAAGAAGTTTCTCAGAAACCTTCTGTCTGGTTTTTATGAGAAGTTATTTCCTATTTCACCATAGGCCTCAATGGACTGAGAAATATCCCTTTGCAGATTCTGCAAAAGGACTATTTCCAAACTGCTCAATCCAAAGAAAGTTTCACCTCTTTGAGTTGAATGCATACATCACAAAGAAGTTTCTCAGAATGCTTCTGCCTAGTTTTTATGTGAAGATATTTCCTTTTTCACCATAGGCCTTAAACTGCTCTCAGATATCCCTCCGCAGATACTACAAAAAGACTGTCTCCAAACTGCTCCATCAAAAGTAAGGTTCAATTCTGTGAGATGAAAGGATACATCTCAAAGAAGTTTCTCAGAATACTATTTCTTTTTCGATATAGGCCTCCAACTTCTCAGAAATATCCCATTCCAGATTGTACAAAAAGACTGTTTCCAAACTGCTCAATGAAAAGAAATATTCAACTCTGTGAGATGTATGCACGCATCAAAAAGAAGTTTCTCAGAAAGCTTCTGTTTATATTTCATGTGAAGGTATTTCCTTTTTCACCATAGGCCTCAAAGCACTCCAAATATCCATTTGCAGATTCTACAAAAAGACTGTTTCCAAACTGATCAATCAAAAGAAAGTTTCAAATCTGTGACATGAAAGCACACATCACTAAGAAGTTTATCAGAAAGCTTCTGTCTAGTTTTTATGTGAAGATATGTCCTTTTTCACCATAGGCATCAATGGGAACAGAAATATCTCTTTGCAGATCCTACAAAAAGACTGTTTCCTAACTGCTCAACCAAAAGAATGGTTCAACTCTGTGAGATGAAACCACATATGACAAAGAAGGTTCTCAGAAATCCTCTGTCTAGTTTTTATGTGAAGATATTTCCTATTTCATCCATAGGCCTCAATGGGCTCAGAAATATCCCTTCACAGATTCTACAAAACGACAGTTTCCAAACTGCTCAGTCCAAATACAGGTTCAAGTCTTTGAGATGAATGCACACAATACAAAGAAGTTTCTTAGAATGCTTCTACCTAGTTTTATGTGAAGATATTTCCTTTTCCACCAGAGGCCTTAAACTGTTCTCACATATACCTCTTCAGATACTACAAAAAGACTGTTTCCAGACTGCTCCATCAAAAGAAAATTTCAACTCTGTGAGATGAATGGATACATCACAAAAAATTTTCTCAGAATACATCTGTCTACATTTTATCTGAAGATATTTCTTTTTCACCATAGGCCTCCAACTTCGCAGATATTTCCTTTGCAGACTGTACAAAAAGACTGTTTCCAAACTGCTCAATGAAAAGAAAGTTTCACCTCTGTGAGATGTATGAACTCATAAAAAAGAAGTTTCTCAGAAAGCTTCTGTTTAGATTTCATGTGAAGATATGTCCTTTTTCACCATAGGCGTCAAAGCGCTCAAAATATCCTTTGCAGATTCTACAAAAACACTGTTTCCAAACTGCTCAATCAAAAGAAAGTTCAAACCTGTGAGATGAAAGCACACATCACTAAGAAGTTTCTCAGAATGCTTATGTCTAGTTTTTAAGTGAAGATATTTCTTCTTTCACCATAGGTCTCAATGGGCTCAGAAATATCCCTTTGCAGATCCTACAAAAGGACTGTTTCCAAACTGCTCAATCAAAACAAAGTTTCAACTCTGTCAGATGAATGCACACATCACAAAGAAGTTTCTCAGAATGCTTCTGACTAGGTTTTATATGAAGATATTTCTTTTCTCACCAAAGTCCTCAAAATGCTCACAAATATCTCTCTGCAGATACTATCAAAGACTGTTTCCAAACTACTCAATCAAAAGAAAGGTTCAACTCTGTGAGATGAATGCACACATCACAAAGATGTTCCCAGAATGCTTCTGTCTAGTTGTTATGTGGAGATATTTCCTTTTTCACCACAGGCCTCAAAGCACTCTAAATATCCATTTGCAGATCCTACAAAAAGAGAGTTTCCAAATTGCTCAATCAAAAGAAAGTTTCATCTCTGTGAGATGAAAACACACATCCCAAAGAAGTTTCTCAGAAAGTTTCTGTTTATTTTTTATGTGAAGATATTTCCTAATTCACCATAGGCCTAAATCGGCTAAGAAGTATCCCTTTGCAGATTGTAGAAAAATACTGTTTCCAAACTGCTGAATCAAAAGAAAAGTTGAACTGTGTGAGAAGAATGCACACATCACAAAGAAGATTCTCAGAATGCCTTGGTCTAGTTTTTATGTGAAGATATTTGCCTTTCCACCATAGGCTGCAATGGTCACCAAATATCCACTTGCAGATATTACAAAAGTAGTGTTTCAAAACTGCCAAATCTAAAGAAAGGTTCAACTCTGTACGTTGAATGCACACATCACAAAGAAGTTTCTCAGAATTCTGCTGTCTAGCTTTTATCCAAAGTTATTTCCTTTTCCACTATACTCCACAAAGCCCTCTGAATATCCACTTGCAGATTCTACAAAAGAAGTGTTTCAAAACTGCACAATCAAAAGAAAGTTTCGACTCTGTGAGTTGTATGCACACATCAGAAAGAAGTTTCTCAGAATGCTTTTGTGTAGTTTTTATGTGAAGATATTTCCTTTTCCACCGTAGGCCCTAAAGCTCTCCAAATATCCACTTGCAGATTCTACAAAAAGAGGGAATCAAAAATGCTCAATCAAAAGAAAGGTTCAACTGTGTGAGCTGAAGTCACACATAACAAAGCCGTTTCTCCGAATGCTTCTCCGTAGTTTTTATATGAAGATATTTCCATTTCCACCATTCTCTCCAAAACGCTCCAAATATCCACTTGCATATTCTATAAAAAGAGTGTTTCAAAACTGCTCAATGAAAAGAAAGTTTCAACTCTGTGAAGTGAATGGACACATCACAAAGACATTTCTCAGAATGCTTCTGTCTAGTGTTTATGTGAAGATATTTCCTTTTCCACCACGTGCCTCAAAGCACTCTAAATATGCACTTGCAGATTCAACGAAAAGAGCGTTTCAAAACTGCTCAATCAAAAGAAAGGTTCAACTACTGTGAGATGAATGCACACATCACCAAGAAGTTTCTCAGAATGCTTCTGTCTAGTTTTTATGAGAAGATAGTACTTTTCCACCATTGGCCCCAAAGGGCTCCAAATAGCAACTGCAGATCCTACAAAAAGTGTATAAAAAATGCTAAATCAATAGAAAGTTTCAACTCCGTGAGATGTATGCACACATCAGAAAGAAGTTTCTCAGAATGCTTCTCTCTAGTTTTTATGTGAGGATATTTCCTTCTCCACCATAGGACTCAAAGCACTCCAAATAACCACTGGCAGATTCTAGAAAAAGAGCGTTTCAAAACTGCTCAATCAAAAGAAATTTTCAAATTTGTGAGATGAATGTGCACATCACAAAGAAGTTTCTCAGAGTAATTCTGTCTAGTTTTTATGTGAAGATTTTTCATTTTCCACCATACTCATCAAAGCATTCCAAATATCCACTTGCACATTCTACAAGGAGATTGTTTCAAAACTGCTCAATAAAAAGAATGGTTCAACTATGTGAGATGAATGCAAGCATCACAAAGAGGTATTTCAGAATGGTTCTGTGTAGTTTTTGTGTGAAGATATTTCCTTTACCACCATAAGCCTCAAAGAACTCCAAATATCCACTTACAGATTCTACAAAAAGAGTGCTTCAAAACTGCTCAACCAAAAGAAAGGTTCAACTCTTTGTGATGAATGCACACATCACAAAGTAATTTCTCAGAATGCT